>NC_000024.10:6042815-6343225 GCF_000001405.40 Homo sapiens
GTAGGACTGTAA
This sequence comes from Homo sapiens, assembly GCF_000001405.40. Lineage (NCBI taxonomy): Eukaryota > Metazoa > Chordata > Mammalia > Primates > Hominidae > Homo > Homo sapiens. The sequence continues at coordinate 6,042,828 of NC_000024.10, forward strand.
ATAAAACATCCTGTTCTCCTTAGCCAAGGAGTAGTTGTATGTCCCAGACTAGTGAATTCATACCTGAAACACAAAAAACGGAAAAATCATTTTAAGTTAATTTATTCTATTGGTGGTATCATGATGAATATTCTCTGATACCTGGACCCCTATTTCTTCCCTGGAAGCTACATTTTTTTTTCTGATTCTGGTTCTGTAGCCTTCCTATCAGTCCTATGATCCCACTGATACCTTTCCCAAAAATTGTTTATTCTGTCCAAACTAGTGAGACACAAGTTTTATTCTTTACAGCCAACGAAGGTAACTGATACGATTATCAACACTTAAAACAAGTTTTACAATTTTGAATAGAGGTACAAGTCTAAGAAAAAAAACACTAACACAGAAAATTAAAAATTCAAATAAAAATAAAATAGGATGGAAATTTAAATGACATATATAATATCAAATATATACAGTGAAACAATAAATATACCATTATGTACTAAAATAGACTTTGTGTAGGACAAGTATTAAAGATAAAAAGTCTATGTAGAAGGAGGCCACAGTATGTAAAGTAAATGAGTGAGTCTAGGTATATGTGCAGTAGAAACACATACCTATGTGTATCAGAAGACATAAACAAGAGTGTTCATGGTTGCATTTGACATAATAGTCCCAAACTCAAAAAAGTACACATAACAAAAATATTAGAAAGAGACCATTTCATATACATGTTCACAATTTCTTCCAAAAACATGAGACAAATATCTATGTTATTGACAACATTGCACATCCTAGAAAGAAAAAGTCATGCATATGCTTATAAAATACATATAAAATATAATTTCATATAAAATACATATAAAAATAATTTCATATAAAATACCTGAAATTATACATAATATATTACACAGCATGGTGGGTGTGGTGAAGAAAAATAAGACAGGGTAAACAGGTGGAGACTATGGTGATGGTGAGGTAGATTACAGAGGGTGGTCCTAGCTGCCCTTGAACAAAAACAAGAAACATGTCAAATTGATGGAGAAAACAAACCACCTGACAGTGCACAAACTGCATCAAGGTCTTGGGGTTAGAACATACTGCAGCAAGGAGAAAGATGAGGAGCAGAAGGGAAAATTCCCAAATTTGTGCAAGCATCATAACCTATGATTAGCGTCTTTGGGCTAACTTGTGCTCATTCTAATAGAAGAAGCACACCCCTGGATGGAGAATTAAGAGGCTAATGACACAAGATATAATGTACTACTATGTACCGCCACTGCACATGCAGGCCTGAAAACCACCCGCAACATGCTTAATATTATAGCAGCACTTCTTTCCCGCCTCTGTATAAATAATCATGTAAAACCCCCATAAATGGAGTTTCCCTAGTGCCAGTTGGTGCTGTCTCATTCTCAAGCAGCCCACTCTAACTTCGCTTTCAGAATTTATTTTTGCCTTGCAATAAAGCTTCTTTGCTTACTTTAACTTTGATTTAATTCTGTTTTGCAAACATGATCGATATTTGCATAACAAAACATGGAACACATTATGGTGGGAGGAGACTGACCAACAGTGAGAGTAATAGAATATGTGATAGGAGAAGCAGCTGAGGGCTGTCATCTTTACAGGGCCCTGTAAGCCACTGTAAGTAATTTAGTTTTTACTTTCAGTGAGAGGGGTCATTTTTGGTAGGTTACTAACCTATATCTGTAAAGTATCAATCTGGGACAATATGATGAATAGACTATAAAAAAGCAAGTGTGGATTCATGGAGAAGCATTAAGAGGCTACTGAAAAATAATCTGAATGAGAGAATAATAGTGGTTTTGACTAGGTAGTGTAGGGAGATGATGAGAGTGGTCAGATTATTACAAAGTTATATCTGATTAATTGAATGTGGTATCTGAAAAGGGAAGACAAAGTCATTGACCATTTTAGGGAATTTGACCTGCACAACATGAAGAAGAATGAAGTTGCCTTTAACTACTGAGATGTGTGTCATATATATGTATGTATGAAAATGACTTGAAGTATATGTATGTATCATACAGTTACAGTAGTTACATCTATGTGTGGAATTAGAGATTTTTTTCTTTTTGCATATCTATATTTGGCATTAATTTTATTCAGAAATGCATTGGCTTTTATTGCAGTCATACAAATTACCATGAACTTACTAACTTAAAACAATATAAGTTTATTATCTTCTAGTTCTTTAGGTCAGATGTCTGATACTGTTCTGACTGAGCTAAAATCAAGGTCTTGGCATGGCTGTATTCCTTTATGGAGGCTCCAGAAGAGAATCCATTTCTTTGCTATTCCCAGCTTCTGAAGTCCATCCACATTCCTTGAGTTGAGGATCCCTTCCACCTTCTTTACAGCCAGGAATCTAATGTCTCTCTGAACCTTTTTACATTGTCTCAAATTTCTCTTTCAGCATAGCAGGAGAAAGTTCTTCACTTTTAAAGATGCATATGATTAGGTGGAGCTAACCTGGATAATATAGGATAATCTACACACCAATATGTTTTTAACCATAATCACATCTGTAGAGTTTCTTTTACCATGTAGATAGATATTAATGGGTTCTGAGAATTAGGATGTAGACATATTTGTTTGACTATTATTTTGCCTACCACAACAAATGGCCATTTCTGGAAGAAACACGTATGTGAATGAGGCAATATTCAAAATATATTCTTACACCCAAAACCCATTAATGACTACTGTTTAATTTTTAGCTAACTTCCTTCTAAATTCTAAGCATGCAGACTTTCTCTTCTTTTTCCAATTAAAAATATACTATACACAAATTTATTCACTCAATATTTATTCAACAGTGCCAGGCCATATGTTTGACAGTGGATATAAAAACTACAACCATAGTTTTATAGCATTATATTATAAGCACTTACACTGTTATTAAATAATTAAAAAAATAACTTTCAAAGCATAATAAGAATGTACTAAAATTCATTTAACATTTGTATTAGTCTGTTTTCACACTGCTGATAAAGACATACCTAAGACTGGGCAACTTACGAAAGGGAGAGGTTTAATTGGACTTACAGTCCTGTGTGTAGCTGGGGAAGCCTCACAATCATGTCACAAGGTAAGGAAGAGCAAGTCACATCTTACATGGATGGCAGCAAGCAAACAGAGAGAGCTTGTGCAGGGGAGCTCCTCTTTTTAAAACCATCAAATCTAGTGAGACTTATTCATTATCAAGAGAACAGCACATGAAAGACTTGCCCCCATGATTCAATTACCTCCCACTGGGTCCCTCTCAAAACATGTGGGAATTCAAGATGAGATTTGGGTGGGGACACAGCCAAACCATATCAACATTGGTCCAATATTGGGCCGTAAAGTTAGTATATTATAATTTAACCATAAACATATATGCACTTTTGTGTATTTCCTGATTATCTGCCCAAAAAGTCATCCTAGAAGAGGATCAACCACAAAAAAGTACATAAGCATTTTAAAATATAATTTCAACAATGCAAGAGTTTTTGGTGTATTTATATACCAATTTATGTAATCACAGTAACAGGGTACCAGGTATTTTGTCTGTATATATTGATACAAATATGATGTGTATCATTCTCCTTTTCCACTTGACAATCTATCTCAGAGACCTTTCAATTTCAGTAGGTATAAATGTAGTTTGTTATTTTTAAATATCATATAACACTGAATAAAATATATATACCATGTTTAATATGGTGACTGTCATAGTGTTGGATATTTACACATTTCCTCTTTGTTTGTTATTATAATCTTTTGTTTCAGATTCATAAACTGATTTCCAAAAGGCTGAAGCAATTTAGATGGTAAGTACTACCATATGTTTATGGGGCTGACTATCTCATATACCCTTGCCAATTGTTTTAACATAAATTTATTTTATTATAAACAATGTTGAATATTTCATTGGCTTATGACCATTTATATTTCTTTTTTATTAATTATTTATATTTCTTACCACAAAATAACACTCTTTATATATCAGTTAGTTAATTTTGACACCTAAAATGATCATGATTGACCCTGCATATTGGTGATCAATAGTGCTAGTGGCTGAGTTGTAATTAGGAAAGTCAAGAATTAACAAAGAGATTATACTTCTGTGCATGAGGACCAGAAAATGAAGAGCTCTGAGATTAGGGATAGACTTCAATGAGAAGGTTTCCACACAGGAATGAATAGTTCAGTTCAGTATGGCTGATATATGGATCTAGTGCATTAGAAATATGATAAATAATCTTAGAAAAGTAGTTAGGGACCATATTGTGGAGAGCCATAAATTCAAGATTAAAAGTCTTTTTCCACCCTATGGTAAATAAAAAGCAGAAAGTGCATTAGAACTGTGCTGTAGAAACATTAATCTCTTCAGTCCTAAATTGGAGTCAGGAAAGGAGTCCTGCTACTAATAAAAAAAAAGAAAACAAATCTGAAGTGGTAGAAGTAAAAATCTTGTTTACTTGCAACTGATTTGATGTGAGAAGTGGGGTGAGGTGTGAAAAAAATCAAAAATGATTATAAGGGTTGGGGTGAGGACGATGACAATAAAATCAGTTAAAAAAAATGGTAAGGGAAATCGTGAGCTACAGCAAAGCAAAGTAGTTAAGGCCAAGAACTGTAGCGCTAGATTGCTCAATCTAAAATCCTGGCTCTACTATTTGCCAGCTGTGTGATCACAGCCACTAAAACTTTCTGTGGCTCCGTTTTTCCATCTCTAAAATAGGAATGATTTTAAGAAATAGTATCTTCAGAAGGTTGTTGCAAGAATGTACCCCTTAATTTATGTAAAGCACCTAGAACACTGCTTGGCACTTTACTATTATTTACTGGTTTTTAAAGAAAGATGACCTCACTAAAAACTGATGAAGATCTTAACAGATACCTCCATAAAAAATACATATGAAAAATAAACACATGAAAAGATATTCCACATCATATGTCATCAGGGAAATGAAAAGTAAAACAACAGTGAGATACCACTACACACCTATTAGATTGGCCAAAATTCAGAACACTGACAGCACCAAATGCTGGTGAGGATGGAGACCAACAGGAACTCTCATTCATTGCTGATGGGAATGCAAAATTGTGCAACCACTTAGGAAGACAGTTTGGCAGTTTCTTACCAAAGTAAACATACTCTTATCATATGATCTATCAATCACACTCCTTGATATTTACCCAAAGAGTTGGAAATGTGTATCCACACAAAAACCTGCCCATGGATGTTTATAAGTAGATTTGTTTATGATTACCAGAACTTAGATGCAACCAAGATGTTCTTCAGTAGATGGATGAATAAATAAACTGCCACACATGCATACATTGGAATATTGTCCAAGGCTAAAAATAAATGAGCTATCAAGCCATGAGAAGACATGGAGGAAACCTAAATGTGTAATACTAAGTGAAAGAGGCCAACCTGAAAAGGCTACATATTCTATGATTCCCACATATTTTATGATTCTAAATATGGAAAAGGCAATACTACTGAGATGGTAAAAATATTAGTGGTTTCAAGGAGTTAGAGGGCAGGGAGGGATCAATAGGTAGAGCACAGATAATTTTTAGGGCAGTAAAACTACTCACTCAATGTAATACTATGATGGTGGAACCATGTCATAATAAATTTGCCCAAACCCATAGAATTCCCACCACCAACAGTTGACCCTAATTTAAACTATGTACTCTGGTGATAATGATGTTTTAATGTAAGTTCATCAATTGTAACAAATGTACCACTGTGATGGGGGATATTGATAATGGTAGAGAGAGTGCATATATGGTACACAGAGTATATGGGAACTCTCTGTACCTTCCACTTAATTTTGCGATGAACCTAAAACTCTAAAAAATATAGTCTATTGGTAAAGCTTTCAATTGTATTTTGAAATTACTTCATTAGTTTTTTCAATTCCAGATGCTCTGATGAATTCCTTTTTAAAGTGTCTATCTTTTCCTTCATTTCCTTCATTTCCCTGATTGCTTTAGAACTTTTTTGTGTTGATTTTCAAACTTCTCCTGGATCTTATTGAGTCTCTAGCAATCTAAGGTGAAAGATCTCTACAAGGAGAACTACAAAACATAGAGGATGCAAATGAATGGAAAAATATTTTATGCTCATGGATAAGAAAAATCAATATCATTAAAATGGCCATATCGCCAAAAGAATGTACAGATTGAACACTATTTTTATCAAACTACCAATGTCATTTTTCATAGAACTAGAATTAGGAAAAAAACTATTCTAAAATTTATATGAAACCAAAAAAGAGTCTGTATAGCCAAAGGAATCTTGAGCAAAAAAAACAAAGCCAGAGATATCACATTACCGGACTTTACATTACCAAACTATACTATAAGGTTACAGTAAATAAAACAGCATGCTATTGCTACAAAAACAGATACATAGACCAATGACAGAATAGAGAACCTAGAAATAAAGCTACACACCTACAACCATCTGATGTTTGACAAAGTCCACAAGAATAAATGATGAATAAGGACTCCCTATTCAATAAATTGTGCTGGTATAACTAGCTAGCCATATGCAGAAGAATGAGACTCAACCCCTTCCTTATACCATATACAAAAAATAACTCAAGATGGATTAAATATTTAAATGTAAGAACTGAAACTGTTAAGAATCCTCAAAGAAGCTTAGGAAACACCATTCTGGACCAGCCTTGGGAAATAATTTATTATTAAGTTCTGTAAAGTATTTGCAACCAAAACAAACAATGACAAATGAAACGTAATTAAACTAAACAGCTTCTGCACGGCAAAAGAAACTACCAACAGAGTAAACAGACAACCTACAGAATGGGAGAAAATATTTAAAAACTATGTATCTGACAATGGTCTAATATCTAGAATTTATAAGGAACTTATACAATTGAACAAGCAAAAGACAAAAAATATAACTGGGGAAATGACACGAACAGACATTTCTCAAAATAAGACATACGAGCAGCCAACAGACATGAAAAACTGCTCAATATCAATAATTATTAGAGATACGTAAATCAAAACCACAGTAAGATACTATTTCACACCAGTCAGAATGGCTACTATTAAAAGTCAGAAAACAACAGGACCAGTTACGGTGGCTCACGCTTGTAATCACAGAACAGCACTTTGGGATGCCAAGGTGGGCAGGTCACTTGAGGTCGGGAGTTTGAGACCAGCCTGGCCAACATGGTGAAACCCCATCTCTATTAAAAATGCAAAAATTTGCCAGGTGTGGCTGCACACATATGTAATCCCAGATACTTGGGAGGCTGAGGCAGGAGAATCGCTTGAACCTGGGAGGTGGAGGTTACAGCAAGCCGAGATCATGCCACTGCACTCCAGCCTGGGCAACAGAGCGAGTCTCCATCTCAACAACAACAAAACAGATGTTGGTGAGACTGCAGAGAAAAGGGAATGCTTTTATGCTATTAGTGAAAACATAAATTAGTTCAGTCACTGTGAAAAGCAATTTGGATATTTGTCAAAGAACTTAAAACAGACCTATCATTCAACCCAGCAATCCCATTATTGGGTATATATCCATAAGAAAACAAATTGTTCTACAAAAAGCACACATTTACTCGCATGTTCATTGTCACACTTTTCACAAAAGCAAACACGTACAATCAACCTGTCCATGATGGTGGACTGGATAAAGAAAATGTGGTACATATACACCATGGAATGCTATGCAGCCATAAAAATAATAAAATCATGTCCTTTGCAGAAACATGGATGCAGATGGAGGCTGTTATATTAAGCACAGGAACAGAAAACCAAATACCACATGTTCTTACTTATAAGTGGGAGGTAAACATTGAATACTCATGGATATAAAGATGGCAACAATAGAAATGAGGATTACAAGGCAGGGGCAAGGGTTGAAAAACTATCTATTGGGTACTATGTTCAGTACCTGGGTGGTGGGATAATACATAACCACACCTCAGCATTATGCAATATAGGCAATATACCGGAGTAACAAACCTACACATGTACCCCCTGAATAGAAAATAAAAGTTGAAAAAATGTATTTAAAAAAAGACAAAAATCAAAGATGACATTTTAAGTTTTAAAATGTTGAGTTTATTAATTATTCAGGTATGAGGAGTTAAAAATGGTTTCCAAAGCTCAAATTATAAGAAGGGCTTGATATACAATTTGGGGTCAATTTTATAGGTATAACTGAAGCACTCTAGCAGTGAATGGAATAAACACAGGAAAAGAAAGAAAAAGTAAAGAGGGGCAAAGTGAGAAAAGGGTAAAGTTGAGAGAGTATTTAAATTTATGAAGTCGAAGACCATGGAGAAGAAGACACAGACAAAGATCAGTAAAATTGTTAAGAAAACTAATAGGATGATGAAGACTCAGACAAACAAGAGAAAAATTTTACAAGAAAAGGTCAGACAACAGTATGAATGGCTGCAGAGAGCATGGGCTTTTTTTTTTCTTTATATTTTGGAAGCCCTTGAGTTTTCAGAGCTTCTATCCACATACAAGAATCTCTTCTGGAGACCTGATCAAGCCTACTTTAAACTGGGTTTCTATTTCAATGAAGTTCACTACCAAGACGTTTTTATCTCCCCTGAGGGTTACAGCAACTAGCAAAGTTCTCCTGGGTAGATGTGACCATGATCTATATCTGCTTACAAAAATGAGGAGGAAATACAGCCATCCTTGTACTATTTGGATTATAAAAATGCTGTGTTATGGTTTTACTGAAAGTGGCTCTCCAAGTTCAGAAAGATAATTCATTCCTCCTCTTGGTCCTAGGGAATAGACTGCCACTAGAACTTAGAGAGTTATCAGAATAGATGACAGGTGCAAACATAAGTGTTAAGGGGAAAAGAATGCATTAAATCTCTTGTGAAAATAATCCAATGAAAAGTTCAATTATTCAGGATGAATTTTTTGAATTTCTCCTTCCGTAGTTGGGCATTAGAGCAGGAATGGATAAAATCAGAAAAGATAGTCGGTATAGGAAATTCTTAGTATAAGCTAATTCATTACAATTTCAGGGGCCTTTAACACCTCACTAACAGCTTGCCTGAAGGTTAGCATTTACTGTTTTGAACTGCCAACATCTTGCTTTTATGGGAAACATTTATATGCTAAATTGTCTATTATGTTAAGCTGTAAGTTGTCATTTAGCAGCATCAGAAATAAGATTTGACTATAAGTAGTTCTATTTTATTAGTGCTATGCCAGACTTCCTAACAGCTCAAAATTCCTAAAGGCTGAAATTGATTGCATCTTTTTCAGAAGGTGCTTGTCTAAAGGAATTTGTTATAAATAATACTACATTTGCATAGATTTGAAGTTTTCAGAACTGGGTCATCAGGAAAAGTGAAAAAAAATATTTTATTTGATCTTACCCTTAAGCAAATAATGTGACATATTTAAGCAATTATATCAAAAAAATAAAAGTACAATCAACTAATGACTATTCTTTTCTTAATGATTTGAGAGTCAATTAGCAGGAAACTCCAGGGAAATGGATGTTGAGTAATAATGTGGTATTAAAAACATTCTCACATATACAGAGAGTTGCCAGGCATTCCTATGGTTCATTAGAGTTCACAACTCTATTGACCATTATATAATATAAAAAACTTAACAAAGAAAATTCAATATGTCAAATCTCAATTTGATGTAGAAAGGTAGAAAGAATATTGCTTAAATGCATACATTGAAAAGCAAATTGAGAAATTCTAGTCAGAAATATAATTTCCACACATGGTAGATAGAATAGGTTAAAAATATGTTCCACTTAGGAAACACTATGCCACCCACCATTTTTCCACACTTCTTTCAGAATCTTTTTCTTCTATACTTAAAATGTATTGGCTTTAAAATACAAGGTGAACATAACATTTATAAATCAAGCCATAGCATTTTAACTAACATTTTGCATTTATGCATCATTGTATAAAGAATTTCATTGCCTTGAAGATCTTTTTTTTCCCTTCTATCAAAACCTTTGTATAGATTTTTCCCCCTTACTATTGAAAGCATTAGCTATATAAGAAAAACTAAATAAAGTAAAACAAATATTTATTGAGCACATAATATGTATCATATACTAGGTTAGCTTCTATTGGGCAGATTGCTCACCACTCTATCATTTGTTTTGTCCCTTTCCATTTGGTCATAGCTATTTAATATAGATTGGATTAACCCTATACCCAGTAACAACAGTGGGAACTTATTTTTTCAAGTAATTTATTTTGCCAATATTACTTGTTCAGTGTGGGTACATAGAAAGTGTCTTTGCAAAGATTTTAACAGTGAAAAAATTATGGCAGTGAAAGAAGGTCTGGACTATCCAACTCCATCTGGCCTCCAACCTCCAAACTTCCTTTGTTCATACCTGGGTGTAGGCCGACTTAAGTTTGGGAGGAATTTAGTTTATAGTTTAACTTTAAAACAAATATAACTGTCCTTACCCAAAACACATGCCCTCCTTACTTGGGGACAAAACTGCCTTTATAAAACCAACAAATTAGCCAGAAGACTAGAAATTATGGCTCAGGAGTCATGCAGCCAGAGGCCACAAGATTCCTAACCTCACGATTGATCCTATAGATAACATTACTATTATAAAATCTAAGATTTGTGTTTAAGGTAGTTTTCAGATCTTGCATTTTGTTGGATAAGTTGGTGTCACTCAGAATGGTAAACTGGCTCATTTGTTGTTTTGTTTTATGCTCCCCACCCTCAGGAACCAACTCAATGCAAGAGGACAGCTTCAACACCCTATGATTTCATCCCCAACCCAACCAATCAGGATTCCCCATTTTCTAGCCCCCTGCCCACCAAACTTTGAATTTTGGGGGAGGATTATTTGAGTAATAATAAAACTCTGGTCTCTCAGCTAGCTCAACTCTTTCTCTATTGCAATTTCCCTTTCTTGGTTATCAGCTTTATCTGAGCAGTGGGGAAGGTAAGCCCATTGGGTGATTACAGTATGTATTGGTTCATTTTCATACTGCTATAAAGAACTGCCTGAGACTAAGTAATTTATGAAGCAAAGAGGTTTAATTGACTAACAGTTCAGCATGGCTGGGGAAGCCTCAGGAAACTTACAATCATGGCGGGAGGTGAAGGAGAAGCAAGGCAACTTCTTCACAAGGCAGTAGGAAGGAGAAGTGCTGAGCGAAGAGGGAAGAGCCCCTCATAAAACCATCAGATCTCATAAGAACTCACTCACTATCACAAGAACAGCATGGGGGAAACTGCCCCTGTGATTCAATTACCTCCACCTGGTTTCACCCTTGACATGTGGGGATTATGGAGATTATAATTCGAGATATGATTCAGGTGAGGCACAAAGCCTAACCATATCACAGCGTGACTGAGAAAATCTAATCATAAGACTTTTTGTTCATTATTTGGAGGAGAGGTGCCCTCATCTTTCATAAGAAAGCATGTAGACCTGGGGGCTGCTGTCTGACACCTCACTGCAATGAGAGTAGTCAGCCTGAGAATAAAGCCCACATGAGAGAAGGGAAGAGCCAAGAGAATTAAGAAAAACCTAGCTACAATCCTGGTAGTATCACACATCTCTGGATTCAACCAACCGTGCATCCCGTCCTAACTCTAAACCCATATATAATAATTACTTTTAAAATAATTTTGAATTGCCCTTTTATGACTTGTAAACCAAAGAAACTACCCTTCTCTTTGCGTCTCAGTCTTTCATTTGCTATTAATCTAACAGTATTTTAATGCCATTTCATGTATCTTTAGATAATATTAATAGAAAGACAACAGTATTTTCAAGAAACACAAATAGAGAGAATCACCTGGTAGCAGTTATAGAATATTAGAAAAATTTCCTCGTTAACCTGAAAATTATAAAGTTAAAGAATTAGAATATTATCTGATTACAAAACTTACTTATGGAATCATGCACCCAGAAAGTTGCCAAGTGAGATTCCTGAAAGAACTGCTATATCAGACACATACAATGATAGAGACATTGGATAATAGAATTGCAGAGATTCAAAGACATGACACCTGAGCATCCTTGCTCTTTTTCCTTTGTTCCAGTAATATCTGGTCTTATTTCTCCTCTAGCACTTACCCCATTTAGTTGTTTTTCCTCCACTGATCTATGAGCTCCTCAAGGTAAAGTCCGTCATATTTTGTTTTATGTTTTCAACTGTGACCACAATATATTGCACATGGTAGACCCGTGGAAGTATTTTTGAATGGTTAAATGAATGAAGGTGCATTAACAGAGTCATGTGAACATTCAGAGAAGTGAGAACTCCCAAGTACTAAATTGAACCTAGAAAGCATCCTATTTCTCATCATCACTCAGTACAGAGCATATAAAAAAACTAGTTTGAGCAACCTATTTTGGAAAAGTTTTATAAACAAATCTTTAATTGCTCACTAATAGGCCCAGGGGTTAAACATCTAAGAACCATATATTATTTTTAAAAGATAATTCTTGTTTCCTTTCAAAATACACTTATTTATATCATAGAAATAGAAATACATAACAGACAATTTGAGAAACACAAACAAGTCACTCATAATAAAATCACCCAAACATAGCCACTGATATTATGGAAATCATAGTGCACTTGTGCTTTTATAGGCTGTTTTTTTTTCTAATTTTATTTTGTATAATAAGCACTATTCTGTTTTGCAATATAGCCTACAAAACTGTGTTTTTAATAATTAAAAATAGTATGTCCAGTGAATGTACAAAAAAAATTTATGTAGTGATACTCTATGTTGTTAAAGACTCAAATGCTTTCCAATTGGTCTTACTATAAATAATACTGTGATGAACAACCTCATCCATATGATAGTTTGATAAATAATGTCATAGGTTGTACTGTCAGATTGGAAGTATTAAGCATTCTAGGATTCCAAATATACATAGTTCCAAAATATTTCTAATAATTTACAATGATGTCAGCAATGTATAAGTGCACCTGCTTTGCCACATTTCAGTAATGCAAATAAACATTTTCAAATATATGCTAATGTAATTGGTGAAAAGTAAAGACACTACATTATCATTTTAATTAACTTTTTTCTAGTAGAGTTATTTTTTTCCATATATTTTCTCTTTACTGAATTATCTTTAGCTTTTGTAGCAGCCTTTGTTGACAGCCTGGAAATACCTTTTCACAGCTACTGCCTGTGCTGCTAACAACTCTTATTTATAACCCTAACTGGAAGATTGTCTTTGAAAGATTGGAGCCAACTCCAGCAGAAGTGACTGAGTTGTGTCTTCCACCCAGATCAGCACTTAATTAGTGGAACAGGAGAACAAAACTCACTCCCTTGCCTCAAAAGATGATGGGGCCAAATGTGAGGTAAAATTTGCATTTCAGATTTCCCTGTGGGATCAGACTGAGGCTGGACTTCATCTGGAAAACACATCTTTGCATAGCCTCTTTTATTTCCCTATCCTGCCTCCCTCAATTCCTTATAGGTATCCCCTAAAAGCAGTCCTTAAAAAATAATCTCCCATTCCAGCATATGCTTTTAGGGAGCCCAACCTAAATATATATACTTTACATATTTATGTAGTATGAGTTTAGTGTATATTTTTTAGGTCTTAATTTGTTTTTAATCTCCATTCCAGAATTTGGTAAATAGAGTTTTGTTTTCATACAGTATTTTAATAGGAAAGCAGATCTATATGATTCTCTTAACACTTTTGGAATATAAATACTCTTTTTATTATTTTTTGTTTAAAAATATGAGATTTAATATGGGAAAATACAAAGATTTTAGAAGGATTGGAGAGTCTCATTGTAAATTTGTTATTCCACCACCACACACACACACACACAGAAAAAAAAAACAATAAAAACTTTCTTACCCTGAAGCATTGTACAGCATAGTAAATAACATCTAATCACTCATCTGTTCAGGCCAAAATCTTCAAAGTCATTCTTGCTGCCTTTCTGTAACATTGTATTAGTCCGTTCTCTCATTGCTATAAAAAATGAAACTGGGTAATTTATGAAGAAAAGAGGTTTAATTGGCTCACGGTTCTGCAGGCAGGAAGCATGGCTTGGAAGGCCCCCAGAAACTTACCATCATGGTGGAAGGTGAAGATGAAAGAGGTACATCATACATTGTCAAAGCAGGAGGAGGGGGTAGGACAGGGATATACTTCTTTAAACAGACAGATATTGTGAAAACTCTCTCACTATAAAAAAAAATAAACAGCAAGGGGCATATCCACCCCCATGATCCAATCACCTTTCACTCAGCCCCTCCTTCAACATTATGATTAAAATTTGACATGAGATTTGGACAGGAACACAGGCACAAACCCTATCATTCCACCCCTGGTTCTCCCCAAATCTTATGTCCTTCTCACATTTCAAAACACAATTATGCCTTCCCAACAGTCCCCCAAAGTCTTAACTTATTCCAGCATTAACTCAAATGTCCAAAGTCTAAAGTCTTATCTGAGACAAAGCAAGTCCCTTCAGCCTATGAGCCTCTAAAATCAAAAGCAACTTAGCTACTTCCTAGATACAATGGGGGTACAGGTATTGGGTAAATACACCTATTCCAAAAGGGACAAATTGGCCAAAACAAAGGGGCTACAGGTTCCATGCAAGTCTGAAACCCAGCAGGGCAATCATCAAATCTTAAAACTCCAAAATGATCTCCTTTAACTCCATGTCTCACATCCAGGACACACTAATTCAAGGCATGGGCTCTCAAAGCCTTGGACATCTCCACTTCTGTGGCTCTTCAGGGTAAAGCCACTTTGGTTGGTTTCTTGGGCTGGCATTGAGTGTCTGTGGCTTTTTCAGGTGCACAGTGCAAGCTGTTGGCAGTTCTACCATTCTGAGGTCTGGAAGATGGTTGCCCTCTTCTCATAGCTCCACTAGGCAGTGCTCCAGTGGGGACTCTATGTGTGGGCTCCAATCCCACATTTCCTCTTCACACTGCTCTAGTAGAGGTTCTCCATGAGGGCTCTGCCCCTGCAGCAGACTTCTGCCTGGACATCCAGGCATTTCTATACATCCTCTGAAATCTAGGCAGTGGCTTCCAAGCCTTAACTTTTGCCCTCTGTGCACCCACAGGTTTAACATCACGTGAAAGCCATCAAGGCTTATGGCTTGCACCCTCTAAAGCAGTGGCTTGGATGTACCTGGAGCCCTTTGAGCCACAGCTGGAGCTGAAGGAACTGGGATAGAGGCAGCAGTGCCCCAAGGTTGTGCAATGCAGAAGAGCATTGGGCCTGGCCCACAAAACCAATGTTTCCTCTTAGGCCTTTGCGCCTGAGATGGCAGGGGCTGCCAGGAAGGTTTCTGAAGTTCCTTCAAGGTATTTTCCCCATTGTCTTTGCTATTATTATTCAGCTCCTCTTTACTTATGTAAATTTCCCTAGCAGGCTTAAATTATTCCCCAGAAAATGAATTTCCCTCTCTGACAATTTGTTCAAACTGCAAATTTTCCAAACTTTTATATTGTACCTCCCTTTTAAATATATGTTTCAGTTTCAGATCATTTCATTGCTAAGGCATATGAGCACATGTTGTTAGAAGCTGCCAGTCACTTCTTGAACACTTTGCAGCTTGGAAATTTCTTTTGCCAGATACTATAAATCATCTCTGTCAACTTCAAAGTTCCACGGATACCTACAGCAGGGGCACGATGCTTCCAGGCTCTTTGCTAAAGAATAGAAAGGATGACTTTTAGTCCAGTTCCCAATATAATCCTCGTCTTAATCTGAGACCACTTCAGCCTGGACTTGTTTGTCCATATCACTATCAGCATTTTGGTCACAACAATTTAATAAGTCTCAAGGAAGTTCCAAATTTTCCTCATTTTTCTATCTTCTTCTGAGCCCTCCAAACTGTTTCAACCTCTGCCCATTACTAGGTTCCAAAGTGGCCTCTGCATTTTCAGGTATCTTTATAGGAATGCCTGACTTTCTGCCTCTGATTTTCTGTATTGAGCAATGTGAGTCCATTCTTGCTTTGCTATAAGAAACTGAGACCAGGTAATTTATAAAGAAAAGAGATTTAATTGGCTTATGGTTCTTTAGGCTGTATAGGAAGCATGGCTCGGGATGCCTCCGGGAACTTAAAATCATGGCAGAAGGTGAAGATGAAGGAGACATGTCTTACATGGCCAAAGCGGGAGAAAGAGGGAGCAGGAGGAAGTGCTACAAACTTTTAAACAACCAGATCTCATGAGAACTCACTCACTGTCATGAGAACAGCAAGGAGAAAAGAGACTCCAATGATTCAATCATCTCCCACTAGGCCCCTCTACCAACTTTAGGATTACAAATCTACATGAGATTTGGGTGGAGACCTAGACCCAAACCATATCACACACCTAATATCAAATCCATCAGCCACTATTTCTAGCATCTGTTAACCATCTTTCTACCCTCTCTGCCCATGAGTTCAATTATTTTTATTTTTAAATCCCACAAATAAGTGAGAACATGAGATGATTTTCTTTCCATGCCTGTCTTACTCAACATAATTATCTCTAGATCCATCCATGTTCTCACAAATGCCTGAATCTCATTTTTTATGCACCATTTTTTATAAGTTCCCCATTTTACTATCCATTAATCTTTTGATGGCACTTAGGTTGCTTCCAAATCTTGGCTATTGTGAACGGTACTGCAACAAACATGTGAATGCAGATATCTCTTTTACATATTGATTTTCCTTATTTTTGGATGTATGCCCAGCAGTAAGATTGCTGGATCATATGGTAGCTCTATTTTTAGTTTTTTTGTGGAACCTCCATGCTGTTTCTTTATAGTGGCTGTGGTAATTTACATTCCAATCAACAGTGTATGAGGATTCTCTTTTCTCCACATCCTTGCCAGCATTTGTTACTGCCTGTCTTTTGAATATAAGCCATTTTACCTGGGGCGAAATGATACCTCATTGTAGTTTTCATTTGCATTTTTCTGATGATCAGTGATGGTGAGCACGTTTTCATATGCCTGCATGCCATTTGTATGTCTTCTTTTGAGAAATGTCTATTTAAATCTTTTACTCATTTTTGATTGAATTATTATATATTTTCCTATAAAGCTGTTTGAGTTCCTTTTATATATATGTATGTATATATACAGTATAAAACCAGTATATATATATACTGGTTATGAATCCATTGCCAGTTGGGGAGTTTGCAAATATTTTTTCCCTTTCTATGGGTTGTCTCTTCACTTTGTTGATTATTTCCTTTGCTATGCAGAAGGTTTTTAACTTGAGGTCATCCAATTTGTCTACACTTGCTTTGGTTGCTGGTGTTTGTGGTGTATTACTCAGTAAATCTTTGCACAGACTAATGTGTTGGAGAATTTTTCCAAAGTTTTCTTGTAGTAGTTTCAAAGTTTGAGATCTTAAAGTATTTAATCTATTTTAATTTTATTTTTGTATACCATGAGAGATGGGGTTCAAGTTTCCTTCTTCTCCATATGGATGTCCAATTTTCCCAGCACATTTATTGAAGAGAGTATCTTTTCTCTAGCACATGGTCTTGGCACCTTTGTAAAAAATTAGTTTACTGCAGGTTTGTAGATTTGTTTCTGGGTTATCTATTCTGTTCCATTGATCTATGTGTCTGTTTTTATGCCAGTACCATTCTGTTTTGGTTACTATAAGCTCTGTAGTATAATTTGAAATCAGGCAATTTGATTCCTCTAGTTTGTTGTTGATGTTGTTTTTTACTTACTTAGCTGTGACTATTCTGAATATTTTGTGACTGCATATAAATTTTAGGATGGTGTTTTCTTTTTCTTGAAGAATGTATTTGGTATTTTGATAGGGGTTGCTTTAAATCTGTAGATGTTTTTGGATAGCATGGACATTTTAATAAAATTGATTCTTCCAATCCAGGAAAATGGAATATTTTTTCATGTCTTTGGTTTCCTATTCAATTTCTTTCATCGGTGTTTTATAGTTTTCATTATCATAGAGATCATTCACATCTTCTGTTAATTCCTAGGTATTTAATTTTATTTGTGACTATTGTAATTGGGATTACTTTTTATTTTCTCTTTCACAATTTTTACCATTGGCATATAAAAATGCTACTAATTTTTGTACATTGATTTTGTATCCTGAAACTTAACTGAATTTATTAGTTCTAATCATTGTTTTTGTGGAGTCTTTGGGTTTTTCCAAATATAAAATCATAACATCTGCAAACAAGAAAAAATTGACTTCATCCTTTGCAATTTCGATGTCCTTTATATCTTTCTCTTGTCTGATTGCTCTAGCTAGGGGTTCCAGTACTATGTTTAATAACAAAGGGTGAAAGTGGGTGTCTTTATTGTGTTTCCAATCTAAGAGGAAAGGCTTTCAGTTTTTCCCCATTCAGACTTAAACCATATCAATTTTGAAGGAAAGGCTTTCAATTTTCTCCTACACAGACCCAAACCATATCATTAGTTATGGTTACAGAAGCATAACTATGGTTCTATAATATATGACTTTTATTGTGTTGATGTATGTTCCTTCTATCCCCAGTTTTTTGAGAGTTTTTATCATGAAGAGATGCTAAATTTTATCAAATGCTTTTTCAGTATCAATATTAATGCTAATACAGTTGTTGTCCATCTTTCTGTTCATATGACGTGTCACATTGATTGATTTGCTTGTGTTGAACCATTCTTGCATTCCAGGGATAAACTGGACTTGGTCATGATGAACTATCTTTTTAATGTATTGTTGAATTTGATTTGCTAGCATTTTGTTGAAGATATTTGCATCAATATTCATCAGAGATATTGGCCTACAGTTTTCTTCTTTTATGTATCTTTGGTTTTTGTATCAGAGTAATACTGACCTTGTATAAGGAGTTTAGAAGTAGTTCTTCCTCTATTTTTCAGAATCATTTGAGTAGAATTGGTATTATTTTCTAAATGTTTGGTAGAATTCAGTAGTGAAGCCATTGAGTTCCAAGCTTTTCTTTACTAAGAGACTTCTTATTATGGCTTCTATCTTGTATCATGTCATTGGGCTGCTTAGATTTTTTATTTCTTTATGGTTCAATCTGAGTAGGTTTTATGTGTCTAGGAATTAGTGCATTTCTTCTCGATTTCCCAATTCATTGGCATATAGTTGCTCATAGTAGCCACAAATTATCCTTTGAATTTCTGCAGTATCAGTTGTAATATCTTCTTTCTCATCTCTTATTTTATTCGAATCTTACCTTTTTGTCTTTGTCTGGCTAAAGGTTTGTCAATTTTGTTTAGCTTTTCCAAAAATCAGCTTCTTGTTTCATTCATGCTTTGTATTGTTTCCTTCATTTTAAATTCATTTATTTCTGCTTTAATCTTTATTATTTCCTTTCTTCCACTAATTTTGGGTTTGGTTTGGTTTGCTCTTGCTTTTCTAGTTTTTTAAGCTGCATCATTAGGTTATTTACTTAAAGTTTTTCTTCTTTTTTGATGTTTGCACTGATAGCTATGAACTGCCCTCCTAGTACTGCTTTTCCTGCATCCCATAAGGTTTGGTATGCTGTGTTTTCATTATCATTTGTTTCTAGAAATTTTTCTATTTTCTGCTTATTTTCTTCATTGACCCACTGGTCATTCAGGGACATCTTTTTAAATGTCCATTTATTTGCCCAGTTTCTGAATTCTTCTTGGTATTAATTGCTAGTTTTATTTCATGTGGTCAGAGAAGATGCTTGATATTATTTTAATTTGTTTTGAAAGTTTTAAGACTTGCTTTGTGACCTAACATATGGTCTATTCTTCAGAATTATCTAAGTGCTGAGAAAAGAATGTATATTTTGCAGCTGTTAGATAAAACGTTTTGTAAATATGTATTCAATTTTGTAAATATTAATTGGTCTACAGTGCACGTTAAATCCAATGTTTCTTGGTTGACTTTCTGTTTGAAAGATCTGTCCAATACTGAAAGTGGGGCATTATGGTAATGAGGCCTATCTCTCACTTTAGCTCTAATAATATTTGCATTATGTATCTGGGTGCTCCATTGTTGGGTGCATATATATTTACAATTGTTACATCCTCTTGCTGAATTGACCCCTTTTTCGTTATATAGTGAGCTTCTTTGTCGCTGCTTATAGTTTTTGTCTTGAAATCTATTTTGAATTTTTACTATTTTTTTATTTTTAGTAGAGACAGGGTTTCTCACCTTGTTGCCCAGGCATGTCTCAAACTTCTGAGCTCAGACAATCTGCCCGCCTTGGCCTCGCAAAGTGTTAGGATTACAGGTGTGAGCCACCACATCCAGCCATTGAAATCTGTTTTGTCTTATATAAGTAGAGTGACTCCTGCTCTTTTTTCGTTTACATTTTCATGAGATATCTTTTTCCATCTCTTTAATTTCAATCTATGTGTGTATTTATAGGTGAAGCATCCTTCTTGTAGGCAAAGTATTAATTGGCCTTGTTTCATAATTCATTCAGCCTGTCTATGTCTTTTGATTGGAGAGTTTATTTTATTTACCCTAAATGCTATTATTGGTAAGGACCAATTTCTGCCACTTTTTGTTTTCTGTTTGTTTCCTGGTCTTCTCTTCCTTCTTTCATTTCTGTCTTCCTTTTGGTAAAATGATTTTCTCTGGTGGTAAGATTTTGTTTCTTGAATTTTATTTTATTTTTGTATCTCTTGTATAGTTTTTGGTTTGAGGTTACCAGGAGACTTGCAAATACTATCTTATAACCCATTATTTTAACCTAATAACTAGTTCATAAAAACAAAAAAGCAAAAATAAAACTAACAAAATGACTACATCTTAACTTTGTCCACCCATTTTTTTTAACTTTTTGTTGTTTCTATTTATAAATTATACAAACTTCATGTTTGTATATTGAAAAGTTGTTGTAGTTATTATTTTTCATTGGTTCATTGTTTAGTTTTCTACTTAGCAAAAGAGTAATTAAAACACCACAATTACTGTGTTATAATATTCTGTTTCTCTGTGTACTTACTATCATCAGAGAGTTTTGTACTTGCATGTGATTACTTATTGCTCATTAACATCCTTTTATTTTTGATTGAAGTACTCCCTTTACTGTTTCTTTTTTTTTTTTTTTTTTTTTTTTTTTTTTTTGAGACAGAGTCTTGCTCTGTCGCCCAGGCTGGAGTGCAGTGGTGCAATTTCAGCTCACTGCAAGCTCCGCTTCCTGGGTTCACGCCATTCTCCTGCTTCAGCCTCCCCAGTAGCTAGGACTACAGGCGCCCACCACCACACCCTAATTTTTTGTATTTTTAGTAAAGACGGGGTTTCACCATGTTAGCCAGGATAGTCTCGATCTCCTGGCCTCATGATCCACCCGCCTTGGCCTCCCAAAGTGCTGGGATTACAGGCATGAGCCACCGCACCCAGCCTCCCTTTACCATTTCTTTTAGGACAAGTCTAGTGTTGATGAAATCCCTCAGCTTTTGATTGTCTGACAAAGTCTTTATTTCTCCTTCATGTTCAAAGGATATTTTCACCAGATATGTGATTCTAGGGTAGAAGTTTGTTTGTTTGTTTTTTCCCTTCGGCACTTTACATAGGTCATTGCACTTTCTCCTAGCCTGTAAAGTTTCCAGTAAAAAGTCTGCTGTTAGACATTTTAAAGCTCCGTGCTTGTTATTTGTAGTTTTTTTTTCTCTTGTTGCTTTTAGCAAGAGCAAACTTTTGGAAGTTTGATTATTTAATGTCCATTGTATGTTATTTCTTTTCTCTTGCTGTGTTTAAGATATTTTCTCTATTCTTGAACTTCAGGGGTTTGGTTATTAAATGTTTTGATATAGTCTTTGTGCTAAATATGCTTGATGTTCTGTAACCTTCTTGCACTTTGATATTAATTTTTTCTAGATTTGGGAAGTTCTCTGCTGTATTCCTTTAAGTAAACTTTGTACTCTTACCTGTTTCTCTCTCTACCTCCTCTGTAAGAACAAGGACTCTTAGATTTGCTCTTTTGAGGTCATTTTTTAGGTCCTACAGGCATGCTTCATTGATTTTTATTATTTTTTCTTTTCTCTCCTCTGTGTATTTTCAAATAGCATGTCTTCAAGCTCACTAATTCTTCTGATTGATGAATTCTGCTATTAAAAGTATCTGATGCTGCTGGGCACGGTGGCTCATGCCTGTAATCTCAGCACTTTGAGAGGTTGAGGCGGGCTGATCACCTGAGGTCAGGAGTTCAAGACCAGCCTGACCAACATGGAGAAAGCCCATCTCTACTAAAAATACAAAATTAGCCAGGCGTGGTGGCACATGCCTGTAATCCCAGCTACTGGGAGGGTTGAGGCAGGAGAATCGCTGGAACCCAGGAGGCAGAGGTTGCGGTGAGCCGAGATCATGCCATTGCTCTCCAGCCTGGGGAACAAGAGTAAAACTCCGTCTCAAAAAAAAAAAAAAAAAATCTAATGCATTCTGCAGTATTCCAATTGCATTTCTTTTGCTCCAGGGTTTCTTCCTGAGTCTTTGTAATCATTTTAATCCCTTTGTTAAATTTTTCTGATGTAATTCTGAATTCTTTCTTTGTATTATATTGAATATCTTTGCATTTCCTTAAAACTGCTATTTTAAATTCTCTGTCTCAAAGTTCACATATTAGTGTTTTTCCAGGATTAGTTCTTAGTGCCTTATTTCTTTCATATGATGAGGTCATGTTTTCCTAGGTTATCTTGATACTTATAGATCTTCATTTGTATCTGGACGTTGAAGACTTAGGTAATTGTAGTCTTCCCCGTCTGGGATTGTTTGTACTCATCCTTCTTGGGAAGGCTTTTCAGATATTAGGAAGGACTTGGGTGTTTTTATCTAAGCTGTATCTGCTTTAAGGTGTGCCCCAAGCCTATTAACACTGTAGTTCTTCCAGAATTTCAGAGGTATCCTCTTGATGGTCTTGGGCAAGATCTGAGACAATTCTCTGGATTACCAGGCAGAGACTCTTGTTCTCTTCTCTGTCTCTCAAGCAAATGGAGTCTCTCTCTTTTCTGAGCTACCTGAGGCTTGAGGTAGAGTGACACAAGCACCCCATGGCCACCACCACTAAAACTGCACTGGGTCAGATCTGAAGCCAGCATAGCACTCTGTCTCATCAAAGGCCTCCTATAACCACTCTACTGCTTATGTTTGTTCTAAGCCTTGGGACTCTATAATCAGCAGTACACAAAGCCAGTAAGTTCTGTCTCTTTTCTTTTGGGACAGTGAGTTCCTCCAAGCTCTTGCAGGGTCCAGAGTTGCTGTTTAGGAGGCAACTCCTAACAGCAAGAGTAAAATACCTTAGAAGTCTACCTGGTATTGTATTGTACTGTGGCTGAGGTGGCACTCAAATCACAATATGCAGTCCTTTCCACTCTTCCCTACCCTTTCTAAAGGCAGAGGCACCTCACTCTGTGATCACTGCTACAACAGGCCCATGGGGAGTACAGCCAGACTACCATGAATGTTCCCTCAATGCCCAAGGGCTCTTCAGTCAGCTTGTGGTGGATGCTATCTGGCCTGGGACTTACCTTTCAGGGAAGTGGTCTCCCCTCTGGCCCAGGGAATCTCCGGAAATTCCATCCAAGAGCCAAGTCCTGAAATTGCCAATCTCAAGGGTTCACTTGTTA
This sequence comes from Homo sapiens, assembly GCF_000001405.40. Lineage (NCBI taxonomy): Eukaryota > Metazoa > Chordata > Mammalia > Primates > Hominidae > Homo > Homo sapiens. Next base: position 6,066,406 of record NC_000024.10, read on the forward strand.
CTCTACCCTCCCCACGGCTGAGCTGTTACTTGAAGTCAGCAAGTCTCAGAGTCCCACCCAAGGCCCTGAATGTCATACCTTTGTATCACTGCTAGTAATTCAAGGCCAAAACCTCTTCAGTAAGCAGATGATTAATCCTTCCAGGACTGTATTTTTTTTTCTTCAAGGAAGCAAGTTCCCTTCTGGCCCAGGGTATGTCTAGAAATGTTAGTTGGAAGCCTGGAAAGAGGACTTTATGATTCTGACTGGTTTTCTATCCTGCTGTGCCTGAGTTGGTATCCATGATACAATATCCTCACCACTCTTCCCTCTCCTCTCCTCAGGTGGAAGGAAAAATCACAGACTGGGAGAAAATATTTGGAAGATACATATCTGATAAAGAAATTGTATCCAAAATATACAATGAACTCGTAAAAGTCAACGATTGGAAAACAACCCATTTAAAAATAGGAAAACCTTAAAGTCTTTCCTCTAAGACCTGAGAAAATAATTTTAAACCTCACAAAAGAAGATTTATAGATAGTAAGTAAAGACATAGAAAGATGCTTAACATTATTTTCCATTAGGAAAATGCAAATTACAAGAATGAGATATCACTAAACACCTGTTAAAATGACTAAAATACAAAATGTCTAACTATACCGAGTTTTATCAAGGATGTGGAACAACAAGAACTCTCATTCATTCCTGGTAGGAATGCAAATGGTACAGCTACTTTGTAAGACAGTTTGGCAGTTTCTTCAAAATTAATCATAGCCTTACTATACCATTCAGCAATTAAACTCTTAGGTATTTACACAAGTGATTTGAAAATTTATGTCCATAGAAAACCCTGCATGTGAATGCTTATAGTTTTTATTCATGATCACTAAAAACTAGGAGCAACAAAGATGTCATCAATAGATGAGCAGATAAATAAACTTATACATCGATAGTATATAATACTATTTTCATTGATTAAAAGGAAAAAGCTATTAATTCACTTGCCAATATGGATAAATTTTAAATGTCTCTTGCTAATTGAAAGAAGCCAGTATGAGGAGGCTACATACTGCATGATTCCATTTATATAACAATCTGGAAAATAATAAACAGTAAAGATGGTAAACAGATCAAGAATTGTCAAGGGTTTGAGAAAGGGAATGGGGGTCTAGATGACACACAGGAAATTTTTTTTTTTTCAGGATGGTGAAACAGTTTCATATGGTACTCCAGTGGTGAATATATTACACTACACCTTTGTCAAATCCACAGAACTTTACAACAGAAGAATAAACCTTTAAGTATGGAAATTTTAAAACATCAACTAGAAGGGAAGGGTATCCAAGAATAAAATGTAGATTATGACAACAGAACCTAACTGTATTATAAATGTATAATATAACCTCACTGAAACAAGGAAGGGGATAGAGATGCTGACCTGAATAGTTTTGGAAATGAATAGAATCTATAAGACTAAAGACAAAGAAGTGATACATGAGCACTGTACTCTTATTATACCTATGTGGGTATAATAAAATTGAACAAATAAGAAAAATGATTCATGGATGGTGGGGACTAGGTTTTTTCACTGTGGTAGTTAGAGATTACAGATAAGCAAGGAGAGAGGCCAGAATGAACCTTTTAGTACTGATTAGAGTTGGAGATATAAGTATCAATTCATTTTTATTTCAATATAAATACATTTGTGTGTGTGTGTAGATATATATATAGATATATATATATATATATATATATATATATATATATATGGAATTATAAACCTGTGTATATACTGGGGTTAGTATATATTAGCACTATCTGTTGAAAGGCCTTAGAAACAATGAGATGCCAGTAACAACAAACACATCTAGTGCCCAGGAGTTGTTGTCTAATTCCATTCTTCAACAAAAAGAACTGAGGATCCTTGGAGAAGAGGATGGAACTAGGGCCTGAGGCAGAAAATATATAGGATTGGCCTGGAGAAGTTTATAGGGCAGGAAAATGAGAGAGATTAAAAAAAATCAAGCCCACAATGATGAAGATTTGTCAAGGAGACACCAGAACCAACCGAAAGAGCTCCTAATGGCCAAAGTTGGGGTAATTTAAGCAATAAAATACACTTCAAGGAAGTGGAGCATAACTCCCCTTCCCTTAAAGTGTGGAACTGGCTTTCTGACTGGAAAAGAAAGGAGGGAAAAATAACTTTATAGTGGAGAAATTTTCAAAAACTACCTCAACTGTTGATCAAGGTTAGCATCATCAGTATTAAGTCATGTTGGTAGGATTTACCCTTGATATCATATGATTAAAATAGCACTTTACCTCCCAAAACTCATAACCACAATCTAACTATGAGATAAACAGAAGACACCCCAAAATCAAGGGAAATTCTACAAAACACCTGGCCAGTATGCCTTAAAGCTGTTAAGGTTATAAAAAACCAAAGTGAATCTGAGAAACTGTTATATTCCAGAAGATCCTAAGGAGACATGATGACTAAATTTAGGATGTATCCAGGATGGAACTCTGGAAAATAAACCAAAGAAACCTGAATAAATCATGGAATTTAGTTAATGATAATACTAATATATATTTGCAATGTTTTAATACATTTGAAAAAAACACTTTTCCACAAACCATATAATAATTTAATTTTACATTTAAAAATAACTTGCATAGTATAATTGGATTATTTGCAATATGAAGGATAAATGCTTGAGGTATAGATACCCCATTTCACATGACATGATTATTATGCATTGCATTCCTGTATCAAAACATCTCTCTCTCTCTCTCTCTCTCTCTCTCTCTCTCTATATATATATATATATATATATATATATATATATATTTACCCCATATATATACATACCTACTGTGTACCAACTAAAATTAAAATTAAAAAATTTAAGTAAATCATGCTAATCACACCAGGCAAGGTGGCTCATACCTGTAACTGCAGCACTTTGGGAGGCTAAGGCAGGAGGAGGGCTTGAGGCCATGAATGCAAGACCAGTCTGGACAACATACTAAGACCCCATTTCTACAAAAACAATTAGCCAGGCATGGTGACATGCACCTGTACTGCCAGCTAATTAGCAGGCTGAGGTAGGAGAATCACTTTAGTCCTGGTGTTTGAGGCTGCAGTGAGCTATAATCATGGCACAGCACTCCATCCTGAATGACAGAGTGGGACTCTGACTCCACACACACACACACACACACACACACACCACACACACACACACACACACACACACACAAATTGTTTCTTTCTTCATATAATGCAAGGCAAAACAGGAATGGGAAAAATATAGCTTTGAGAAATTATCTATAAATGGAAGTAATTCAGCAGAAGTAGAAACCTAGGGCTTTGATGACTATGAGAACCTAGGTTTTCTAGGAATTCATGGAACTCCTGGAAATAGTTTGACACTTTCATAAGACCTGAAAAGGGATTCAAGTTCATTCTAACTAGATTTTACTGGTCAATGAATCCTTAGTTAATATTTGGGATACAATAAGTTAGGGTACAGAAATATTTTAGCAAGGAGAATCTTTTAAACCATTCATAGAACAGAGAAATTAGAAATAAAACATTATGATTTTATCAGTAAAATTATAACTTACATGGTAAGGCGTATTACACAATAATGTTAAAAGTCTGAGATATGGGTTGTTTATATTAATTCTGTGAATATTAAAGGGGAAATTTGAAATATGTATTCAGTATTAACTTTAAGAAAAATGAAGAAAGAAAGGGCCACAAAATACCACTTACTTCAAAGCAGTCATCCACGGGCACGAGTGAGGTGCAAAAACAGCTGGGGTTGCTCCAAGTCAGGAATATATTTCTGGAAAATGATATCCACCAGGGCTAGGAGTATAAATTTCTAAGGAGACTCTAATGCCTCGTTGAGAGATATTGACATATTCTCTGATAGGTCGACTGTCCTGTGATACTAGTGGATAGAATACTCCTACAGGCCTACCAATGGACATAGTTTCAGATTATCGATTGTAATTCGAGTGATGGCTAACACACCATGACTCTTGTATAAGTACAACCTATATATCTATTAGCAAAGAAGGTCTCTTTCCACTTGCAGAAGTCCCCTTGCACTGGGGATAAATAAGTAGATAGAAACCACATAAACTGGAACTCTTCCCTCACAAGATAACTTCCAGATTTCTAATATTTTGAAATGTGTTTAGCCTAATTTTCCTCAATTTTAAGTGGTAAAACTGCATGAGGATAGAAACTTTAATTTTTTTGATAGCCCTTCTCAAGAAGTGACCAGTTATACACATGCATATCTCTCATAACAAAGATTCTGAATTCGTTTTTGATGTTTGACCATGAAAGCTTCAAAGCTCAACCACTCCATTGTCCTCTTTTTCTCAAAGCTGAGAAAATTAATGAAACAACATGTACATTCTCTAGTTCACTTTTTTGGTGCCAGAGAGAAGTGCGAATCACTCAAACTCTAAAAACCCTCACTCCAGCCAGCCCCACTTCCAAATCATAATAAAAAATAAAGCCACTGGCCCCATCCCTTCACTCAAATCATTTGAACCAACTTTTGTGTCTTCCTTACTCTTCATAGGAAGCCTCTTTATGTTAATGATATGCCTTTTCCTATATCCTCTTGGTGTCTCAATACTTAAACTAAGTTTATTTGGGGAAAAGTTGATCTAATATTTAATGGCAAACCACAAGACATTTATATAACGGAAAGAGAACTCTCACAGAGTATGTACACTTGCTATCTGTGAGACACAAATATTTTCTACTCTACTGTATTCTTAATTATTTCTTTAAAAATGCTTTGGTCCACTTAATTTATTTAAAAATTCTCTAATGGGTTGTGATCCTCTAATGGTACTTTAAAGAAAGTGGTATTTTGTGGTCCTCTCTTCCTCTTCTTTAAGGTTGATACTAAAGGCCTATTTCAAATTTCCTCTTTAATATCCACAGTGTTAACATAAACTTCTAAAAAATTTTTTCAGTTTCTAAAACTGACTTATCTCAGGTCATGTAAGTGGAATTATAAAAAAGCTTAGACTAAAACCCAATCTTCTCACTCCCTGCCCAACTGTCTTTTCAGTTATACCATGAGTGTTTTTTGTAGCAGTAAAAAAAATCTCCTTTGCAAAAAAGCAAGCCATCTGTTAATATGATATAATGTCTACAGGAAAAGAACATCATTCTGATGCTCATATTCAGACTTCCAGTGCTACATTAATATTCTTTTCATGTTTGGGTATAAGTGAGTCTTTAGTAGCTTAAATATATTACAGTCAAATTTACTAGGACATTATGGGTTTGAAAAGGCACCAGCTAGCTGATTTTCAACTCACCATTTTTAACAATAGACACTTTGTATGCAGTAGAATAAAATGTTGACACGAGTTTGAAAACTGGTTCTCCTTTATTAAATGAATATACATGCTATTTTAGAATTGTTAAGCTGCTCATCAAAGATGAACTGCTGACATTTAAAATATCAAAGTATAACTAATATCGAAGCAAGTTCTACATGCAAAGTCAGCATCAAGAATTATATGTGTTGAGAAAAGTTATAAAATAATACTTTATAGGTGGATTTGTGTGCCTAAGTTTAATATATACTAATGTATGTAAACAACAGTGAACACAAAAAATTAGATCACTATAACTTTTAAAAGACCTTTGCTACTATTATCTGAATACTTCAGGAAATAATTTTTTCCCTTAAGAAACTGTTTGAACTCAATACATGAATTAAATCCAATTCATATGAAGATATGACATCTTTAATTAACTTAAATGAATTCAAATTTAAAAATATGATCTGATTCTTATCCCAGTCATTTCATTTTCTTTGTGCATGCTTCAGACCTAGATAATGAAATACTTTGCTCCATCAGAAGAAATCAACATATGCACACAAAGACATACATAGAAATGTGCATTCAAAATTAGACGGTGTGCTGGTCAGTTTTGAGAACTCAGTGAGGTATGGAGTTTACATTTAACTCAATTCCCTTTTGAGACTTAGGTCAGTATGAATAGGCATAGCCTGCTTTATGATGTTTTCTATTGATAAAGCCCCCTTGTGAATTCAGATCTCCTAGACTCTGATCTCATTTACTGTTCACGGAACTCCTAAGTTTTGAAAAAGAATTAATTAAATCTTATCTCTATCCCCCACTAAATTCTTGGAAGCTCAATTTACTTGCCTGGGGAATAGAAATAGTAATGTATAAGAGACAGAGCTGTAAACATTAAAGCAAATGTAATTTTATAGGCCTGGTATTCTATGAGTGTTAATTGCATTACATTTACTATGATTGTTATCACGACCAAGTTTGGAAAATGTCTGACGGTTTTTGGTAAGCTATATTCCCTGAAAAAAAATGTTTACATCAAGTCTTTATTTAGCCCTCTCATGTCCTTCATGCCAACTATACAAGATAGCAAAAAACAAGGTAAATTATCAGGGTGTCTGCCACCTGAGAGGATGTGTATTGTGGGCATGGATGATTTTAGTCAGAAATCAACAATGTTAATCGAGCTTAGGAAATAATCATTCTATAGAGTAAAACCTATTCATTAGGTGAGGTGGGAAGGTACCTTGTATATTTTTCAGGAAGAGTTAAGCTCATGATTCTGGAACCAAATATTTCTCCTTTTATTCCACAAGAAGTTTTGTGTGTTTGCTGATCTATTGTTAATTTTTCCTCTTCTTTTATCTTGGGCTTTAATTGGATCTTAACTGGACTTTGGCAGTCAATAAATAAAGAAGAGTACAGCAGTTTATCAGTTTGGGTATCCTATGCTTGGTATTCTTCCTGGAATGTAGAAGTTACTGCTCTCCATTAGACAAAGGAATAAGTCAATACTCAGGTTGAAAAGAAAGCTCAGTATTTGACTTTATAAACAAAGTTCTTTTTTAACACAGAAAGAGAAATTCTAATAGAAATCGTCTGAATGATTAGTCTTAATCATTGGAAAACACACAAAGCAATATTGCCTTGCCAACTGCTAAAGTACTTAGTACCTAATGTTTTCATTTATTTTAGGAGAAAATTATTCTAAAACAAAAATAAAGGCTGATAATATTTTTGCACTAACATTTTAACCATTTTATAATTCTGCAAATAATTATGAATTATATTTCTTTTAATACATTTTCATCAACCACTATTTTTAACCTACTAGAAAGTTTTAAAAGAAAAATGAATTTCCAAGCATTAATGTGTTTAGCTAGAGGCATAATTTTCTGTAACTTGTTGACAAGATAATTGCATCAGTTGTTGAATCTTTCTGCTTCTGTTATCTGAATGTTTCAATGTATTCATTTAGGTATTCCAAAGATAAAATATTTTTAAATAACTTTGATTTTATCAGAAAACAGTGATAAATTTAAATTCTATGGCTCTTTTAAACTATTAGAAACTACTTATATATTAATAAAAAGTCAAAAGATGTATGTTCTTGAGTTGCTTCAAAAATAAGACACTAAACTTAAAAAAGAATTTTACTTTACAGTATATTCTAAAGAACCTCTATTGCTTCTACCAAACAAACTAACTACATTTGAATCTACCGTATTAATTTACCAATAATAATACCACTTTTTCAGTATTTTCACTTTTATCTTGATAATTTCAAGAATCTTTATTTTGATTACTACATTAAATATGATATAGTAGTTAGTAAATAATAACAATTAAGTAATTATTAAACAATAGGCCTTTATTATTACTATTAATGGGAATAGAAAAAATCTCAAATTATCAAAAATTAGTTTCATCTCCCTTTATCAAAAGATGGAATCTAGTTTTAAAGTCTGTGTACCTGGACTGGCTTTTTGACTTGCTTTGACCAACCGAATGAAACAGAATTGATGTGGTGCATTTTCTAAACTTAGGCCTCAGGAGGCCTAATAGCTCCATTCTCTCCTAGAAATGCTGTCACCATTTGACTAAGACCACGTTAGTCTGTTGGGAGATGAGAGATCATGTAGTGAGAGCGGACTGGTAATCCCAGGCTTTCCATCTATGCAAACTGTGGCCTTAGACTGAACACTGACCCCAGCCAACACCTCACAGAGTAGAGATGAACCATCCTGGCTGAGACTAGCTCAAATTGCTTGCCCACAGAGTTGCAAGCAAATGAATGATTATTGTTTTAAGCCATTAATTTTTGAGGTGGTTTTCTATACAGCAATAGTTATCTAATATAGGGATAATAGAAATATATATTACACTAGTGGGGATGAATTTAAATATAGATCCTTTTAAAGGAATTTTTACATTATACAGATACACTAGTCATGAGTTTGAGTCTTGGTTCTTCACTCACTACCTGTGTGACCTTGCGCTAATGACAGAACCTCTAAGTCAGGGGTGTCCAGTTTTTTGGCTTCCCTGGGCCAAACTGAAAGAAGAATTGTCTTGGGCCACACATAAAATACACTAACACTAATGATAGCTTACGAGCTAAAAAAAGTATTTTAAGAAAGTTTACGAATTTGTGTTGGGCCACATTCAAAGCTGCCCTGAGCTGCATGCAGCCAGCAGGCCCTGGGTGAGACAAGCTTGCTCTGTCTTTCTTCATTTGAAATATGGGGTTCAAAATCATTTTTAAGGTAGTTTTGAAGGTTAAATGGACTAATCGATTTAAAGTATGTAACAAACTGCCTGATACCTAAAAAATGCTGAATAAACATGAAGTTATAAACATCTGCATTACCTATAAAATTTCACAGAATGTTAAAAAAAGTGTTTTGTAATGACTGTGTGTAATGAAATGAATGATTTTGTAATGCAATTCGTCATCTAAAACATTCCTCTGCATAGAAAAATAACAAATTGAGCCTCAATATCATTATAAAATAATTAGAAGATTTTCATTTGTATCGAGTTAATGACCATGAGTCAATCAGACATATATTTCAGTGTTTTAAATATCATTATTTTAACTTTAGTAGATAAATTATTCTGCATTCACATTTCTGGAAAGCACATGTGGCTTGCTGTTTATCGTGACTCTCTTGATTTTAGCTAATTTAATCAGCAATTTAAAATGATGCATATTAGTAGTCCATTTGCATTCAAAAAATTCTCTTCATTTTATATTATACAAAATTAATGGGGACAAATTACTTACTCATGTGAAGTAAGAACTACTTACTACTTCATATTAGAACTACTACTGTACAACCAAACCCCTTCAAAGAGAAAGAGCCTGTAAGAGTTTGTAAGAGCAAATAAAGATATATAAAAATTATATTCTATTTTTTCTTAAAAAAATAAGTGTGTAAATAATTATATATTTTGCCTACTCAGTTGTTCCAATTAAGCCTTTCAAACAGAACTTCTTCAACTAGGTTCTATAGATGAGTTTCAAGAAGTCCTAGCCGATGAAAATTATATGCAACAATTTGTATATAGGTGCAAAATTACATGTATTTGATGGGGATAGAGGAAGAAGACAAAACTTTATCAGATTTCCAGAGGGAGCCATGACTCAATAAAGTTTAAGGGATTGAGGACTAAGAATTTTAAAACTGGTAGACAGGCCGGGCGCGGTGGCTCACGCCTGTAATCCCAGCACTTTGGGAGGCCGAGGCGGGTGGATCATGAGGTCAGGAGATCGAGACCATCCTGGCTAACAAGGTGAAACCCCGTCTCTACTAAAAATACAAAAAATTAGCCGGGCGCGGTGGCGGGCGCCTGTAGTCCCAGCTACTCGGGAGGCTGAGGCAGGAGAATGGCGTGAACCCGGGAGGCGGAGCTTGCAGTGAGCCGAGATTGCGCCACTGCAGTCCGCAGTCCGGCCTGGGCGACAGAGCGAGACTCCGTCTCAAAAACAAACAAACAAACAAACAAACAAAAACTGGTAGACAAGAGATGCGAAAGAAGACTGTTGAAATAATCCAAATAGTAAGTAATAAGGCTGATAATATGTCAGTGGTAGTTGGATGAAAAGGTTAGATTTGAGAAATATTTCTGAAGTAGCTGCTTTATCTCAAGTACCCTAGGAAACAGTGTCTGAGATAGAAATTTGCATTCAAAAGATTGTTGAGGAGAGCTCTTGGAACCAACCCTGTAAGGCCCTGAAGGAAGCAGGACTGGGTAGAAGGCGAAATAAAACTGCAATGCTTTTATAACAGAGGCCTCAGCGCATCTTAAAAGCAGCTCTGAGCTTGGTGTGGCCCCTCAGAAATGTGTGGCACTGAGGCAATAGAGCGAGGCCTTTTCATTCCTGCATTGACCTGTGAGAAGATGCAAACTACCTCTAAGGAAGGGACATGACTTTGGTGAGGTATCTTCTTTTAGCAGAGGGCAATTCCCAGAGAGGGACACAGAGAAAGCCCAGCAGCTGAAAGCCTGAGTGTCATGGTCTTGAAGGGAAATCTAAGTTGCTCATCACATGTCCATTAGGAAATACGTTACTAATATTTTAAAATAAAGACGTCTATGAGAATAATTATAATGTGCCAGATCCATTATAGGTAGTATAAATGCAGCAGTAAACAAGAAAAATCATATCACTACTTACATGCAGTTATGTTCTAGAGTTGGAAAGAAAAAACATAAATAAGTAAACAAGTAAGTAAACAAGATTGTGATAAGTGCTTCAGATAAAACAAACCAAGGCAACGTTCTGGAGAGTTACCTGTAATCTCTTTTTATTAATAGAATCAGAGATGATCTCTAAGGAGGTGATAGGTGAGCTGAGTTGTTAGAGACCAAAAGGAGCTAGACTTGCACATATTTGGCAAATATTTTATGCAGAGAAAAAAAGAAATGCAAATATTCTAAAGAAGTTAAAAACTTTACTACTTTGAGGAACCATGTAGCCAAAGTATACTGTGTGAGGTGAATAGTTGTAATGAGGGTCAAGAAAAAGGCAGAGATCAAATCAGTTAAAACCTTACAAACCACGTGTTACACACTCAGTTCAAGCATTATCCCAAAGCCATGAATTTGTCTGGCATAGCCTTAGCAATGGCTCTTGCTGTTTCTTTCTTTTTTCTTTCTTTCTCTTTTTTTTTTTTTTTTTTTTTTTTTGAGACAGAGTCTCCCTCTGTCGCCCAGGCTGGAGTGCAATGGCACCATCTCAGCTCATTGCAAGCTCCGCCTCCTGGGTTCATGCCACTCTCCTGCCTCAGCCTCCCAAGTAGCTGGGACTACAGGTGCCCACCACCACGCCCAGCTAATTTTTTGTATTTTTAGTAGAGGCGGGGTTTCACTGTGTTAGCCAGGATGGTCTCGATCTCCTGACCTAGTGATCCGCCTGCCTCGGCCTCCCAAAGTGCTGGGATTACAGGCGTGAGCCACCGCGCCCAGCCGGCTCTTGCTGTTTCTAAGGTCGTGAAGCCAAGTGTAGTTGCTACAACTTCCACAGCTATGAATCAAACATCACCAGGCATGACATTAATTGGTAATTGTATAGAATATCTTCTAGAAAATAGAAGAGGAGGGAACATTTTCTCGCTGACTTTATGAGGCCATTATTACCCCGCTACCAAAATCAAACAAAGAAAGTATAAAGAAGAAGAAAACTACAGACCAATATCTGTTATAAATATAAACGCAAAATCTTCAATAAAAATTTACCAAATTGAACACAGTAATTTACAAAATATTTATACACTGTAACCAAAAGGAATTTATTCTAAGTGTCAAGACTGTTTCAAAATATGAAAAGCTGTCCACGTAATAAATAGGTTATGAAAGAATATTATATTATTATATCAGTTGACGCACAAAAAGCATTTGACAACACCTAATACCCACTTATGATAAGAATTCTTAGAAAACTAGGAATACCAAGGGAACTTCTTCAACTTGATAAAGAGTATCTAAAAAACATCTACAGGTTACATGATATTTAATGGTGAAAAATCTAGTGCTTTTTCCCCCTAAGATCAGGAAGAACATGACGTCCACTTTTGCCACTCTTGTTCAACATACTACTGGAATTTTTAACCACTGCAATAAAACAAGAAGTAAGAAGTAAAAGACATCCATATTGGAAAGGAAGACAAAACTCTTCATGGCGATGACATGATCTTGTATATAGAAAATCCTGAGAAATTCAGCAAAATCTATTAGAGCTAATATACCGTCCCTATTTGAAGATGGTATGATCATCTACATAGAAAGTGTTAATAATTTTTTTTTTAAAAACTCTTTCCAGTTTTCATCAGGTTGCAGGACACAAGATCAAAACACAAAATGAATGGCATTCTTACAGGCTAGCAAGGAACTTTCCTACATTATTGCTTTACAAAAAAAGACTCTTGAAGGGATGACAATACAAACTACAAATTGAGACACAATATTTGCAATCCACGTATCTATCAAAGATTTGTATCTGGAATTTGTAAGAAAAAAGCCCCTTATCAAAACCTTCATAAGCCAACAGTGAAAAAACAATCAAATAGAAAATTGACAAAATACATACAGACATTTTACTAAAGAGAATAATCAGATGGCAGATAAGTACATGAAAATATATTCAGCATAATTTCCCATTAGGAAAATGTAAATTAGAACCACAATGAGATATCTCTACAGACCTATCATAAAGGTTAAAATAGAAAATAATGACACCACCAAGTGCTAGCAAAGATGCAGAGAAACTGGACCATTCATATATGGCTGGCATAAATGTAGTATGGTACAGTCACTGGTAAGGAATATGGCAGTTTCTTTCAAACTAATTTTGCAAGTACTATGTTACTCAGTAATTGCACTCCAGAGCATTTACCCCAAAGAAATGAAGACTTATGTTCACACAAATACCTGTACATTAATGTTTATTTCTGCTTTATTCATTATAACCCAACACTAAAATCAATCTAGATGTCTTTCTTCTTTTCTTTCTCTTCTTTTTTTGTTTAACTTTTATTTTAAGTTCTGGTTACAGGTGCAGGTTTGTTACATAGGTAAACATGTGTCATGGGGGTTTGTTGTACAGATTATTTCATCACCCAGGTATTAAGCCTAGTACCCATTACTTATTTTTTCTGAACCTCCTCTCCTCCCACCCTCCACCATCTAATAGACTCCAGTGTGTGTTGTTCTCCTCTATGTTTCCATGTGTTCTCATAATTTAGCTCCAATTTATAAACAAAAACATGTATTTGGGTTTCTGTTTCTGTGTTGGTTTGCTAAAGTTAATGGCCTTTAGCTCCATCCATATCCCTGCAAATGACATGATCTTGTTTTTTTATATGGCTGCATAATATTCCATGGTGTATATGTACAACATTTTCTTTACCCACTGTATCATTGATGGGCATTTAGGTTGATTCCATGTCTTTGCTATTATAAAAATGCTGTAATAGACATATGTGTGCATCTGTTTTTATAATAGAATGTTTTATATTCATTTGGGTATATACCCAGTAATGGGATTGCTGGGTCAAACGGAATTTCTGTCTTTAGGTCTTTGAGGAATCGCCACATTGTCTTCCATAATGGTTGAACTAATTTATACTCCCAGGGTTTGTTACACAGTAAACATGTGTGCCATGGTGATTTGCTGCACAGATCATCCCATCACCTAGGTATTAAGCCCAGCATCCATTAGCTATTCTTCCTGATGCCCTCCCTCACCCATGTCAACCCTCTGACAGGCCCCAATATGTGTTATTCCCCACCTTGTGTTCACTTGTTCTCATCATTCTGCTCCCACTTATAAGTGAGAACATGGGGTATTTGGTTTTCTGTTCTTGTGTTAGTTTGCTGGGGATAATGGCCTCTAGCTCCATCCATGTCCCTGCAAAGGAGATGATTTCATTCCATTTTATGGCTGCATAGTATTCCATGGTGTATTTGTACCATATTTTCCTTATCCAGTCTATCATTGATGGGCATTTAGGTTGATTCCATGTCTTTGCTATTGTGAATAGTGCTGCAATGAACATACATGTGCATGTATCTTTATAATAGAATGATTTATATTCCTTTGGGTATGTACCCAGTAATGCGATTCCATCCTTGCCAGCTTTGAAGCAATAAAATATATTTCTTTCAATGGGTGAATGCTTAAACAAATTGTAGTACATGCATACTGTGGAATTCTCCTCAGCAAAGAAAATGAACAAATTATTTATGCACACAATAACTTCGATGAATCTCTGGGGAATTACACTGAGTGGGGAAAAAAAAGGCAATCTTAAAAGGTCACATGCTCTATGGTTCCATTTATACAACTTTCTTGAAATATGATTATAGAAATGAAGAACAGATTAGTGGTTGTCAAAAGTCAGGGATGATAAGGGGTGAGGCAGACAAAAGGGAGGAGGGTTTGGCTATCAAGGATCAACAAGAGGAAGTCTTGGCTGGGTGTGGTGGCTCACCCCTGTAATCCCAGCACTTTGGGAGGCCGAGGCAGGTGGATCACAAGGTCAGGAGATCGAGACAATCCTGTGAATGGTAAAACCCCGTCTCTACTAAAAATACAAAAAATTAGCCAGGTGTGGTGGTGGGTGCCTGTAGTCCCAGCTACTCGGGAGGCTGAGGCAGGAGAATGGTGTGAACCCAGGAGGTGGAGCTTGCAGTGAGCCGAGATTGCGCCACTGCATTCCAGCTTGGGCGACAGAGGGAGACTCTGTCTCAAAAAAAAAAAAAAAAAAAAAAAAAAAAAAAAAGGCCAGGCGGGGTAGCTCACGCCTGTATTCTCAGCACTTTGGGAGGCTGAGGCAGGTGGATCACGAGCACGAGGTCAGGAGATCGAGACCATCCTGGCTAACACAGTGAAACCCTGCCTCTACTAAAAATACAAAAAATTAGCCGGGTGTGGTGGCAGGCGCCTGTAGTCCCAGCTACTCGGGAGGCTGAGGCAGGAGAATGGTGTGAACCTGGGAGGAGGAGCTTGCAGTGAGCCGAGATCGCACCCCTGCACCCCAGCCTGGGCGACAGAGCGAGACTCTGTCTCAAAAAAAACAAAAACAAAAACAAAAACAGACAAAAAAACCCAAGAGGAAGCCTTGTAGTGAGTGAACTGTTATGTATCTTGACTGTGTCAAAGTTGATACTCTGGTTGATATTGTACCGTAGTTTTGTAAATATTACCACCAGGGTAGGATAAAGAGTACATGGGATCTCTGTGTTATATTTTAAGACTGCATGCAATTTATAAGTATCTCATAGTGAAAAGTTGGATTAAAAATAATAAATACTCTAACTTTCTAACCCATAATTTTCTAACCCATAATTTCCAAAATTTCCTTAGCTAAAAAAAAAACACCTGTTTTTCTGATATGGTCATCTAAATATTCCATATAACTAATTTCCTGTAGTTCATATTATCTTTTAAAAAGCTACACTTTATATTTTAGATAATAAAAATGGAATAAAGTCTAGAAAACAAAGACCATTTCCAAAATAACCATACATGATATGCAGACCTGCTAATGCCTAGGTTAATTTTTGAGTCACTATATAGACAACTGAGATTTTGTAGGACTTAGAGAAAGGCTGTGATTTTTAGAAATAGTGTGTAATACTGAAAGTGCTGTATCTAATATCACCAACAATTGAGTATAAATAGATAGCTGCATTACAGTTAATCTATCATAAATGTTTTATTTATCCTTATATGCATGTATCATGTTACTTAGACTGTTTGAATATTTTTGTTATTCAGGGGGTTTTATTTATAATGACATTATGCATAGAACAGTGTGATTTGTATAATAATAAAGAAAGTTTGTAAACATTTCCAATTGTACTTTAGAATTGTTACTTGATTCCTGTCCCAAGTAAGGACATTTGCAATGGTTAATAAAGAGAGAGGGAGAGGATTTTGGTAACAGCCTATAAGTTTCTGAGTCAAACACTGGAAATATATCTTACTTGCAAATAAAAATGTTAAAGTGAAAGTCTTCAAAAAGAGGGGGAAGAAACTACATTTCACAATGTAAATTATTTAAATATCATAATAGGTAATATGGTAAATGATTGATTATCTTTCCCAGAGTGAGTGTCTTTCTCCTCTTCCATATCTATTTAAAGCCCCTCTTTCTTCAGGTTCCTTTTACGTACCATTACAAATTTAATCTCCGTCAGGAAAAATAAATTCAACCAACAGTGATAATCATTGTTAACCACATATAGTACCCTTATTGTTTTATCTACATAGTAAATATGCTTTTATATATTTATTACTTAGCAGTACAATATGGTATTATTAGCCATTATATTTACCTACTATTTTTTCTTCTAAGTAGTTTGGAAGAGGTCATTTAGGACAGGGATTACGTCAAACAAGTCCTCATCTTTGTAACTATATAGTACGTGAACTTTTCAAAGTGACATGGTTATTAAGTAATCTAGCAAAGATTTGAACACAACTATTTTAATACTAAGTTCTGTACTCTTGACATTGTTTTATGTTCTCTTCTGCTGATATGACTGAACAAACTCATCTAAACATTGACAAACAGCGTTATAGGACTCATTAAATAAATTCTAGTAAATACAATAGGGTTCTAATTTATTTTTGAAAGGAATGAGGGAGACCTATATTTACTGACATAGAAAGACTTTCAAGATATTTGGGATCAATTTAAAAGCCAAGCATAGGGCAATGAGTCTAATATATGTAATATGCTGCAATTTGTGTAAAATAAATGAAAAATCTATGTTCTAACATGTTTGTATACGCATAGGCTACCTCCAGATAAATATATAAGAAACCAACCAAGGAACTGATTTTATTTTTGTTGAATAACTTCTTTAAAGCTTGCATTATTTTTTTTTTACCACATGTATTAGAAGAAAAAGTCCTATGGCATGATGACAATGTTATTTTCTCCTAATGGTAAGAATTTCTTAGGCTAGGAATCACATTTGAGGTAAGAGAGCTTTTTAAAAATGTAAAAACTACTGGGTTGAGGAATATACTTCATCAAATAAAAACTTTTTGTAACATTTTTATGTATAATAATATGTGTATACTATTACTTGAAGGATAATTTAAATCGTAGAGTATAAGTTACAAAGTACTTCCCACCTGCGACTCATAAAAAAATCAAGTTGATTGTTCAACAGAGAGATTATCTCATATGTTTATGAATATGCCAGGACCCAGTGTCATCTGTTAGCTCAATTCCTGTGGAGCTATACATATTTATGAAATCACAAGTAGAAGTTATAAATGTGCAGCACTAAGATTTGCAAAGTAAAATGTGCTGCTGCTTATTGTCACTCATCAAATTCATTATTTATTTACAATATTTATAATTGCTAAATAAAAGAGTACATCATTTAATTTATAAAATATAAAACTATGGGGAAAACTTGATTACTACACTATTGTGAGCCTACTTGTAGTTATTAAGCAGAAAGCAGAAACTTATATTTCAAAAATCCTCTAAGGCAAGTTTTGAAATCCTTTTATGACTTCTTTCATGGTATAACGGGTTGGTAATATATCTGTTTAGTTGTTCTGCTCCTTATCTGCTGGATTCGGTTGAATTTAACTTTCAGTGTCATTTAAAAATTACATTCTTTCCTCTTGGAGCAGGAGTGTTCGACTTTGTCTACACTGACTACAGTGATTAGTTTGATCAATGTAGATAGCCAGAGCAGCTAATTCATACTTCAAAGGTGTTGATTTGTTCAGATTTGGGAAGACTGTCTAAATTTATCAAATTAGTCAGGTATTATTCAAATAATTGCTTTTCCTAAGACCTGCCCTTTCTGTATCTGACAACATTTTTAGCTCTAATTAATGTACTATTTAAGTTGTTAAGATGCAATTATCTCCTAAAATATTTAATTATTGAGGTAGTGTGACTATGTCAGCTTATAAGTGTTCTATCTTGAATAGTAAATGTTACAGTTTCACAATATGTTTACATCAGTTTGATTAGTGCCAAATACTATGGAGAAAGTATTGCTTTAATATAGTCTCATATACCTGTATAAATACGCTGGGTCTGTGTGCAGTAAAAACGTCTATATTTTAATTGCTTGACAATAAGTTTATTATGTTTTTCCTTCAGCACCAGTTCCCCAAAGAAACATCTACACAAAATTCAGAGTAAGAATATTTCCAATGAAAACAAAAAGCCGACTGGGCACCTAATAACTATAAACCTGATGGTAAACAAAAGGTAGCTCTATCATAAAACTCCTTCAGTCAGAAAATATAAGTAACAGAAAAAAATAGGAAATAATCAAATTGATACATACTATTTCATACCATTTTTATCCTTTTCTAAACATCAATCTCTTAAGATGATACCATAAAAATAACACATGAAAGTATATTAGAGGCATACACTTCTACTTTATTGCAAAGACTGTAATCTCTTTGGCCCTATTGTCCAATACAATATATGGTAGCAGGTATAGAAAGTGCTTAATATGTTTTTACTTGTGGTAAAATACACATAATATACAAATTCACCTTTTAACCATTTGAAGTGTAGCTAGCAGCAGCATGAATTGTATTCACATTGCTGTGAAAACATTGTAAATATCCGTCTCGAGATTTTCTCATCATCCCAAACCGAAGCAACATACCTATTAATAAATAACTCCTCATTCTCCCCTTCCCTCAACCCCTGGTAACCACTATTGTGTACTTTCTGTCTTTATGAATTTGATTATTCCAGGTGCTTAATATAAGTGAAATCGTACAATAATTGTCCTTTTCTGTATAATTTATTTCACTTAGCATAATGTTTTCAAGGTTCATTTATGTTGTAGCATGTTTCAAAATTTCAATTTTTCAAGGCTGAATGATATTCCACTGCAGGTGTATACTAATTTTGATTATCCATTCATTGGTAATGGACATTTGGGTTGTAACCACATTTGGCTATTATAAATAATGCCGCTATGAACATTGATATACAAATATCTCTTCAAGTATCTGCTTTCAATTATTTTGGGTATATGCCAAGAAGTGGAATTTCTAAATCATCATATAGCAATGGTACATTAAGTTTTTAAGGAGCTGCCACACTGTTTTCCAAAGCTGCTGCACCATTTTACATTTCCACCAACGGTGCACAGGCTTTCAATTTCTGTGCATACTTATCAACAGTTGTTACTTAGTATTCTTGTTTGTCTGTTTGGTTGTTTTTGTTTGTTTTGTTTTGTTTTAAGAACCATCCTACTGTGTGTGAAGAGTATCTGATAGTCTTTTGCTGTTGTTGTTTGTTTGTTTTTGAGACCGAGTCCTGCTCTGTTGCCCAGCCTGGAGTGCAGTGGTGCGATCTTGGCTCACTGTAAGCTCCGCCTCCCGGGTTCACGCCATTCTCCTGCCTCAGCCTCCCGAGTAGCTGGGATTACAGGCACCTCGCACCACGCCCGGCGAAATTTTTGTATTTTTAGTAGAGATGGGGTTTCACCGTGTTAGCCAGGATGGTCTCGATCTCCAGACCTTGTGATCCGCCCACCTCGGCCTCCCAAAGTGCTGGGATTACAGGCATGAGCCACCGCGCCGGCCCTGATAGTAGTTTTGGATTTGAATTTCCCTGATGATTAGTGATGTCGGGTATCTTTTCATGTGCTCATTGGCCATTTGTATATCTACTTTGGAGAAATGTCTATTCGAATGCTTTGCCCATTTTTTCAATTGTTTTTGTTGTAGTTCAATTGTAGAGGTGAGGTTTTTATATACTCATATCCCTTATCAGATATATGATTTGCAAATATATTCTCCCTTTTCACACTTATGTCAGTGTCCTTGGGTGTATAACAGTTTTTAAATTTTGCTGAAGTCCATTTCATCTATTTTTTTCTTTTATTGTCTCTATTTGGTGTCATATTCAAGAAATCTTGCCTAACCCAATGTAATGAAAATATTCTCATATATTTCTATCTAAGAGTTTACTACTTGTAGCTCTTATTTTTAGGACTTTGATCCACTTTGAATTAATTCTTTACATAGTAATTAATTAATCCGACTTCATTTTTTTTTGCATATTTATATCCAATTTCCCCAGGGCCGCTTATTGAAAAGACTATTCATTTCTTACTAAATTGTCTTGGAATCTTGCCAAAAATCATTTGACTATGAATGTGCAGATTTATTTCTGGGCTCTCTATTCTATGCATTTATGTGTGTCTTTAGGATAGTATGACACTATTTTCATTACCATAGCTTTGTAATAAGTTTTGAAATCAGGAAGTGTGGCACCTCCAAATCTCTCTCTCTTTAAAATGATTTCTTGGCTATTCAGAGTCCTTTGAAATTCCACATGAATTTTGGGGTAGATTTTTCTAATTTTGCCGTAGAATGTCATTTGGATTTTTGATTGGGTTTGCATTGAATCTGTACATCTCTTTGGTGGTATTGACATCTTCACAATATTAAATCTGACAACCCATGAACACAAAAGGTCTCTTCATATACTTATAAATTCTTTAATTTCTTCCAGTGATTTTTGTAGTTTTCAGTGTATATGTTTTTGTCTTCTTTATATGGTTAATCCTAAATACTTTACTCTTTTTGGTGCTATTATAAACTGAATTGTTTTTCTAATTTTGTTTTCATAATATTTATTGTGAATGTGTAGAAACAAAACATATTTTTGTGTTAATTTTGTATTCTGCAACTTCGTTTAATTCTCTTATTTGATCCAATAGTATTTTATAGCATCCTCAATGTTTTCTATTAAAAAGATCCTGTCTTATACAAACAGAAATAATTTTACTTCTTCAATTTCAATTACGTTTAATTCTTTTTCTTACCTAACTGCCCTGGCTAGAACTTCCAGTTCTATGTTGAATACACCCAGTGAAATCAAGCATTCTTTTTTTAAAATTTTAAGTTCGAGGTGCGTGTGCAGGTTTGTCATATAGGTAAACTCATGTCATTGGGGTTTGTTGTACAGTTTATTTCATTACCTAGGCACTAAGCCTAGCACCCAATAGTTATTTTTTCTAATCCTCTCTCTCCCCCACCTCTCCACCCTTAAGTAGGCGCCAGTGTCTGTCGTTCTAGTCTTTGTGTCCATGTGTTCTCGTCATTTAGCTCCCACTTACAAGTTAGAACATGAGGTGTTTGGTTTTCTGTTCCTATGTTAGTTTGCTAAGGATAATCTTTCAGAACTTAGATGAAAAGCTTTTAGTCTTTCATTATTGACTATGATGCTAAATATGGATATTTCAAGATATTTCATATATGGCCATTATTTATTGAGGTTGTTTCCTTCTATTCCTAATTTGCTGTGTTTTTATTATAAGGAATGTTTAATTTTGTGAAATGTTTTTCTGCATCAAGACAACGGTTTCTTCTCCTTCATTTTCTTGGAACACTATCATAATACATCACATTTAAGAAAAATTGCACTTTGTCCTAGTGTATAATCCTTTTATTGTACTTCATAATTTCATTTACTAGTATGTTGTTGAAATTTTTTGCATCAACATTCATTAGGTATAGTAGCCTGTAGTTTTCTTTTATGTAGCGTCTTTGGATTTGGCATTAGGAAAATGTTGGCCTCATAGAATGAGTTAAGAAGTGTTCATTCTCTTTATTATTTCGGAAAGGTTTTAAAAGAATTGCTGTTTATTCATTTACCAATATTTTTAAAAGAATTCATTAATGAAGCCATCTGCTCCAGGGCTTTTTTTGTTGTGAGATTTTTGATTCCTGATTCTTCTCCTCATTGTTTATGAATCTGTTCAGATTTTCTGTTTCTTCATGATTCAGTCTTGGCAAGTTGTGTGTTTCAAGGAATTTGTTTATTTCATCTAGGTAATCCAGTTTTTGGTGCACACTTGCTCATAGTACTCTCTTATGATCCTATTAGTTCTGTAAGATTGTTAGAATTATTCTGTTTTTTTTCTGATTTTAGTAAATTAAGTCATTTTTTTTTTTGTTTTAGTCAATGTAGTCTTTGGCTATAATTTTAAAATTTTGTAGTTCATTTTGAAGAACCAACATTTGATTTTATTGATTTTTCTTTTTTTTGTATTCTCTGTTTTAGTTAGCTCTGCTATAATCTTTATTATTTGCTTCCTTTTGCTAGCAGTAGGTTTAATTTTTTTCTTTTTAAAACATTTTAAGTGGTGTAATTAATTATTTTAGTTAACCTTTTTCTTTTTTTGATGTGTTTCCAGCTATTAATTTTCCTTCTGAGCACTACTTTTGCTGCATTCATATGTTTTGGTATGCTGTGTTTTGGAATTAATTTGTTTTAAAATATTGTCTAATTTCTCCTCTGATTTATTCCTTGATCTATTGGTTGTTTAAGGATATGTCGCTTTATTTTTATCTACTTGCCAGTTTTACAGTTTTTCTTCTGTTATTGATTTCTATATTCACTCCATTGTGATTTGAAAAGATAATTTGTATAATTTCAGTCTTTCAGAATTTATCAAGACTTGTTTGGTGGCTTAACATATGGTATATCCTGAAGAGTGTTTCATGAGTAATTAAGAAAAATGCATATTCTACTGTTGTTTGCTGGAGTGTTTGGTAAATGCTTGTTATACCTACATGTATTATAGTGTTGATCAAGTTCTTGACTTCCTTCCTGATCATCTGTCTTATTTTCTATCAATTATTGAAAGTGGGTTATTGAACTTTCCTACTATTATTGCAGAGCTTTCTGTCTCCCCTTTTCATTCTGTCAATATTTGCTTCACATATTTTGGAGCCCTATTGTTTGATGCATATATATATATATACACACACACACACACACACACACATATAAAATTTATTTTTATAGATTCAAGGAGTACATGTGCACGTTTATTACATAAATCAATCACTGATGGATACTTAGGTCAATTTCATTACTTTGCTACTGTGACTAATGCTGTGATAAACACATGAGTACAGGTGTCTTGGATATGATTTTATTTTCCTTTGCGTACTCAGTAGTGGGATGATTGGAATTAATGGTAGTTCTATTTTTAGTTCTTTGAGAAATTTGTCTTCTATAGACATATTACTTTACATTCCCACCAATAGTGTATACGTGTTTCTTTTTCCCCACATTCTCATCAACATCTGCTGTATTTTGACTTTACAAACTCTAGTAACATTTCTATAAACCAATAATATTTATGCTGAGAACTAAATCAATAAGTCAATTTCAATTACAATAGTCACATGACAAAAATTAAATACCTCAAGAAATGTAACCAAGGAAATGAAAGGTATTTACAAGGAAAAATACAAAACACTAATAAAAGAAATCAGAGATGAAACAAACAAATGAAAAAAAATCACTTGTTCATGGATTGGATAAATCAATGTTATTAAAATGACCATACTGTCTAATGTAATTTACAGATTCAAAGCAATACTTATGGAATTACCAATTTCACTTTTTCACAGAATTAGGAAAAAAAATTCCAAAATTTATATAGAACAAAAAAGATTGCAAATAGCCAGAGTAATCCTAGACAAAAAGAACAACCTGGAATCATCACATTATCTGGCTTCATTATACTGCATGTTTATAGTGACCAAAATCGGCAATGTACTGGTACTGGTCCAGCTACTATGAAAGGTATGAAGATTCCTTAATAAACTAAAAATAGAACTACCATATGATCCAGCAATCCCACTGCTGAGTATTTATGCAAATGAACTGAAATCAATATTTTGAAGGGTTATCTGGATTCCCATATTCACTGCAGTATTATTCACAGCAGACAAGATATGGGATCCACCTAAGTGTCCATCAGTGGAAGAATGAATAAAGAAAATGTGGTATAAGCAAACAAAAGAATGCTATTCAGCCTTAAAAAAAGAAAGCAGTCTTGTAATTTAAGACATTATGCTTGAACCTGGACGACATTATGCTAAGTGAAATAAGCCAGTCACAGAAAGACAAATACTGAATTATCTCACTTATATATAGAATCTGTAAAACTTGAACTCATAGAAGTAGGGGGTAGAATGATGGTTACCAGAGGCTGGGGAATGGTGGGAGGGAGTTGGGAGTTGATGGTCAGGGGACACAAGGTTTCAGTTAGACAGGAGGCATAAGTTTTTATTTTTATTGCAATAATAATGTATATTTCAAAGTAAATAAGAGTAAATGTCTCATCACAAATAATGATAAGTGAGAAGATAGATATGTTAATTTGCTTGAGTTCATCATTCTTCATTCTATAAGTAGATCAAAGCATCACATTGTGCCCTGTATATATATACAATTATGATTTGTCTATCAAAAATATATGAATTAATAACAAAAATATATATTTCCATATATAGTGGGTATATCAAATCCATTTAATCTAGTCAAATTGATCTACTCAAATATAATCCAGTAATAAATCTACATGTATATATATGGAATCCATATAAGTATATAGATATACATATGTATTGTCCATATTAACATAGTATCTGTATATACTTCCACACAGATTCCACATATATTTGACACAGAGTGGGTGACAGAAATGAGTTTTACAATTGACCCTATGGTTGGTGGGAATCTACCCACCAACTGGGTCATGTGTTGAATGAAAAAAATAATCTCTTTTTCTTGCCTAAACACATGTTTACAACAGAATGTCAAGTGAGCTTTGAGAAATCTCTACAGCCATAATTTCTGTGCCTGCCTCAGATTAAAACAAACACACTGCCCCAAAAGATTTGTAATTGATGACAAAAATGCAACTACTTAAGTATGTTTGTATAACAAAGCTAATATTTATAAATAAACATACCTCTGAAAATATTTATCACCTTCCAGCAGTTCAAACAGGCCACTGACAAGATGTAATGAAATCGCAGTAAAAATTCAGTGAATTATTTTGGTGAAAATTAACACGGAAATTCTAAAGTTCATAAGGAAATTAAAAGGCCCCAAACCCTTTGCTTAACAAATATAATCATTATTTGTGCTTCTGAAACCATATGTTGGATTTCCCTACGTTTAAACTTTGTATAAAACAAATTATGCAGCATGTGGTCACACATGTGGCTTTTTAGTCTCTGTATTATATTAGGAAGATTCTTACATGTTATAGCATACATTTACCTGTTATTAGCAGTGGGGACTGCAGCTTCTTTCACTAATCTTATTTTTGTCTGAAGCTTTGTTTTTTGTTTTGTTTTGTTTTTAACAGATCATGTCTATTTACCTACGTGAAGTAGACTCTGTGACTCACTAGACTTATACTTTCTCAGAGACAAGTGAAGGCAGCTTGTTACTTCCCACCCTTCGACACACACATACAATGAGGGTCTGAGAAATGAAGTGTAGGAGCCAGACACAATGGCAGATTACAAATAGAGTTGAGTGGCACAAGAATGGGCTCTATTAAACATACCTTATTCACATCCTCAGATTCTCTTGGCCTCTTGCGTCTCTTGGATTCCCAACTTCTTGATCTGTCTCGACTAGCACCAGATAAAACCAGTTCCTTTCAGTTACTTGGCTTGAGGATAATTACCCATTAGCCTGCGGTTTCTGGTTCCACTTACCTTTTGTGTATTCAGATTAAATGCAACGCCTTAGGGTTTGGGGTATGTTTTCCTGAATGGCTTCTGAGGAGCTGAATAATGTAACCTGGGAGGTTAGAAAATAGGGGTGACATTTTACCAGTGGAAGATATAAAATGAGGAAAAACCCGGCAGAAAAATTCCATCTCCCTTTTTCATTTCGATGAACTTACAGCGGTGTGATTTCTCCCTGAAAACTGTCTGAAAAGAGCCTCTGTGGCTAATCAGTTGTAATTGATAGGAAACCTGCTTCACAGTCTGTTGTGGAGCAGAAGCCAGAATAGAAATTAGTCACCTTGCATTATGTTTTACCTTTCCTCGTTTTCATTTCTCCTCACTCAGTGTCTCCATATAATACTTCCCACATAAGCATTAGCAATTTATCCTTCCCTCAGGCTCTGTTTTCTAGGAAACATAGGCTAAAATAAAGTGTATATGCCAATGAATATATATAGTTTTAACATTTACAAATGAAACAAATGTGCTGTCCACAGAGGTTATGACCATTTTGATTCCCTCTGACAACACATGAGAGTGCTTACTTTGCAAGATTCTAATGGAGTATATGATCACATCTTTAAATTATATTTTCTCCTCTGATCAGAAAAAAAGTGGTATGCTATTGCGGTTTTAATATGCATTTACCTAATCTGTCATATTTCAGATCCATAAATCCATCCAGAGTTTATATGCCATTTGTATTTACTTTTCTGTAAAGTGCTCACTCTCTTGGCTCATTTTTCTACTAGAATTTTCATTTATATATATATGCTTTTTAAAATAGAACAGATATTTGTCCTTTGACTGTTATTTTAGCTAAATTTTTTTTTTTTTTTTTTTTTTTTTTTTTTGAGACCGAGTCTCGCTCTGTCTCCCTGCTGGAGTGCAGTGGCGCGATCTCGGCTCACTGCAACCTCTGCCTCCTGGGTTCAAGCGATTCTCATGCTTCAGCCTCCCAAGTAGCTGGGGTTAGAGGTGCATGCCACCACACCCAGCTAATTTTTGTATTTTTAGTAGAGATGGGGTTTCACCATGCTGGCCAGGATGGTCTCTGGATCTCCTGACCTTGTGATCCGCCCACCTAGGCTTCACAAAGTGCTGGGATTGCAGGCATAAGCCACCGCGCCCGGCCAGCTACCCATATTTTTATGAGTTTATAGTTTGCTCTTTGGTTTTGTATCCGGTGGTTTTGCCATACCAAACTTTGGTTTTAATTTTATTTATTCATAGTATTTGTAATAGTTACCTTTATTTGTCAACTTGACTCCGGTAAAGGACATTCAGATAGTAAAACATTATTTCTGGGTGTGACAGTGTAGGAGTTTCCAGAATAAATTAGCATTTGAATCAGTAGACTGAGTAAACAAGATCTACCCTCACCAATGTTTTGGGCATCATCCAATCCACTGAGGGATTGGATGGAACAAAAAGGTTGAGGAAGATGAATTCATTCTCTCTCTCTCTCTCTTTCTGAGCTGAGATATCCATCTTCTCCTGCCCATAGATCTCAGAACTCCTGGTTCTTTGCCCTTTAGATTTTGGACTGTATACAAAACTGCCTAACTTATACCACTGTTCCCCCCATCTCCCCACAAACAGTTTATACGTCTTTAGACTTGGACTGGGAGTTACAGCATCAGTCCCTCTGGTTCTAAGGTCTTTGGACTCAGACTGAATTACAACACAGGCTTTCCTGGTTCTCTAGCTTAGATACAGCAGATTCTGGAACTTTTTGGTCTACATAATTGTGTGGGCAAATTTCTATAATAAATCTTTGTGTGTGTATCTCCTATTGGTTCTGTTTCTCTGAAGAACCCTGAATAATAACCATAATAAACATTTCTTTTCATTACTTTTAGGTTTTATTTATCATGAATAGAAAAGCATTCTTACATGGAACAGTCATCTCTATGCATTTACCCTTAGATATAACAATCTCAATTCTAGCATCCCAAAAGTGTTGTGGCAAAAAAAAAATGTATTCAAAGACTTTTTATCATAGCCCTATTTTATGTAGACTGTAAAGAACTCAAATATTCATCTAGAGTAATTTAGTTGAGTAAACTATTCATCTACACAATGAATTATTATGGCACTGCAAAAAATTGAATAAGAATTATCTTTATATACTGCTATGCAGTGATCTTTAGGAAATACTATTAGGAGAGAAAAAAAGACAGAGAAGATTGTACATGGTATGCTACTATATATTAAATAAAAGGGGATATGGAGTCATATATATATATATATATATATATATATATATATATATATGCACACAAACTACCTTATATTAAAAACAAATGGTACACCAATCTGTTTGCAGATGACACGATTGTACCATTGTCTCAGCCCAAAATCTCCTTAAGCTGATAAGCCACTTCAGCAAAGTCTCAGGATACGTAATCAATGTGCAAAAATCATAAGGATTCCTATACACCAATAGTAGACAAACAGAGAACCAAATCATGAGTGAACTCCCATTCACTATTGCTACAAAGAGAATAAAATACCTAGAAATGCAACTTAAAAGGGATGTGAAGGATCTCTTCAAGGATAACTACAAATCACTGCTCAGGGAAATAAGAGAAGACACAAACAAAGGGAAAAAACATTCTATGCTCATGGATAGGAAGAACAAATATCATGAAAATGACCATACTGCTCAAAGTAATTTATAGATTCAATGCTATCCCCATCAAGCTACCATTGACTTTTTTCACAGTACTGGAAGAAACTACTTTAAATTTCATATGAAACCAAAAAAGAGCCCACAAAGCCAAGACAATCCCAAGCAAAAAGAACAAAGCTGGAAGCATCACGCTACCTGTCTTCAAACTATACTACAAGGCTACAGTAACCACAACAGCATGGTACTGGTACCAAAACAGATATATAGACCAATGGAACAGAACAGAGACCTCAGAGGTAACATCACACATCTAAAACAATCTGATCTTTGACAAACCTGACACAAACAAACAATGGGAAAAGGATTCCCTATTTAATAAATGGTGTTGGGAAAAGTGGCTAGCCATATGCAGAAAACAGAAAAAGGACCCCTTAATTACACTTTATACAAAAATTAAATCAAGATGGATTAAAGCCTTAAACATAAGACCTAAAACCATAAAAACTCTAGAAGAAAACCAAGGCAATACCATTCAGGACATAGGCATGGGCAAAGACTTCATGACCAAAACACCAAAAGCAATGGCAACAAAAGTCAAAATTGACAAATGGGATCTAATTAAACTAAAGAGCTTCTGCACAGCAAAAGAAAGTATCATCAGCGTGAACAGGCAACCTACAGAATGGGAGAAAATCTTAGCAATCTATCCATCTAAAAAAGGGCTAATATCCAGAATCTACAAAGAACTTAAATTTACAAGAAAAAAAACAAACAACCCCATCAAAAAGTGAGCAACAAATACGAACAGGCACTTCTCAAAAGAAGACATTTATGCAGCCAACAAATGTATGAAAAACAGCTCATCATCACCGGTCATTAGAGAAATGCAAATCAAAACCACAATGAGATACCATCTCACACCAGTTAGAATGGCAATCATTAAAAAGTCAGAAAACAACAGATGCTAGAGAGGATGTGGAGAAATAGGAACACTTTTACACTGTTGGTGGTACTGTGAATTAGTTCAACCATTGTGGAAGACAGTGTGGCGATTTCTCAAGAATCTAGAACCAGAAATACCATTTGATCCAGTGATCCCATTACTGGGTACACACCCAAAGGATTATAAATCATTCTACTATAAAGACACAAGCACATGTATGTTTACTGTGGCACTGTTCACAATAGCAAAGACTTGGAACCAACCCAAATGTCCATCAATGATAGACTGGATAAACAAAATGTGGCACATATACTCCATGGAATACTATGCAGCCATACAAAAGGATAAGTTCATGTTCTTTGCAGGGACATGGATGAAACTGGAAACCATCATCCTCAGCAAACTAACACAAGAACAGAAAAGCAAACACCACATGTTCTCACTCATAAGTGGGAGTTGAACAATGAGAACACATGGACACAGGGAGGGGAACATCACACCCTGGGGCCTGTCAGAGCATGGGGGGCTGGGGGAGGGATAGCACTAGGAGAAAAACCTAATGTAGATGATGGGTTGATAGGTGCAGCAGACCACCATGGCATGTGTATAACTGTGTAATAAATCTGCACATTCTACACATGTATCCTGGAACTTAAAGTATAATTAAGAAATAATTATAATAAATAAATAAATGGAAAGTTTAAAAATGTAAGGCTAAACATATATACATACATACACACACAGATATTCCTAGGAATTGCAGATTGTAGGAATATTTAGGGAATATTTTGACTGTATAACTGTGAGAGTATATCTTAATGACAAAAATAACCAAAAGTAAATCTTAATTTTTTAGCAACCAGACTGCTAGTAATAGTGTTGATACTGTTATTCTGAAATGTTAGCTATTGCAAGTGCAAACAATAATTATTTGATGTTGTTAGAGTTTTTGGCTTAAGACATAAAAATAGAATTGAAGAAGTTAAGTAAAACAAACTGAAAATTGTTATAATTCTAAATTTGAGTTTGAGTTACAGCATGTCTACATGTATGTCATGATGTATTTTTTCTTCAATGATACATATTACTCAAGAAATGATTCTTAAATTTCTTCCATTAAAAATTCAAAAAACATTAACCAATTCATCATTATCATCTCATAGATTCTGGTCTCTAAATACCATTTTCATTTAAAGAAAGCACCATCTTTGGAAAAATAGTTAATTCCAAGTCTGCTTTAAGAAATGTATAAAATGAGTTTAAACATGTTTTCATAATAGAAAAGCAGGGAAACTAGTAATTACTATTTGGTCATGTCAAAATGACGAGCCAATTTGAAAGGGCTGTAACAATAAATAATGTAAAATTTGAGCATCAAAGAAAAAATGACTGCAATGATTACAGCACATCCAATATGTTAATATGTATGATTTTATAATTATAGTGTTACAATCTTATTGATCAGTTTTGGAGGATTTCAGGGAACCAACCTCTTATTCTGAGATGTGACAAGGGTGGAGAAATCAAGCCTTTATCCCATATCTGTGATACAAAGAATCCCTCAGCCTTAACAAATAGCTGAGGATGGAAACTTTTTTTCATAGAAGTTTTACAGATAATAAGTGGAGGAATGATAGAAATAGAATACCACCATTCTTCAATATTTAATAAAATAATAAATCTAGATGATTATGATTTATGGCTATTAAAACCATTGCATAAAAAGCTGATGAGGGACTTAATATTGGATGGATTAGACCAATAACAGTTCAACCTATGTATCAATCTTAACATCAGGAATTCTTTGTATTCTGGTGAAGTACACCAACTATATCCTCTTCTTGCCAAAAATTCCAACCTGAAACTGATTAAGACTCTAGAAGTAGTTACCTGTTTACAGAAGATACAAAGCACTGAAGATCCAGTTGAATAACATCACAGGAATGTAATCAATAAATTGTAAAATAAAAAGAAACACTTTAGGGTGAATTACCTAGCTGTTTCAATAAGTAAATTCCAAGAGAAAAAATAGGGAGGGGGAAACTAGAGACATGTGAACCAAATGACATTGTCTGGAACCTGATTTGAGCAAATAAATTGTAAAATAGATACATTTATTTTTTAGGTACATTAAAGTTTCAGGGTTGATTTTTTAATAAATACACATATTTTACACATACAAACTGAACTATTTTGTAGGTGAAATTACATGGTTTCTGATTTTGCTTCAAAATAATCTGTTCTCTGTGTGGTGGGAGATATGATGGGGGTTGGAAGTTGATGGATAATAAACCTGAAACAAGATTGGCTATAGGTTGCAAAGTGTTGAAGCTGAGATGTAGATGCACAGTGGTTTATTATTCTATTTTCTCTACTTTTGTGTATATTAAAATTTTTCATATTAAAACATATTTCAAAATAACATTTCACAGTATGAAGTATTTTTCTTTCATTTTTGCTACTTTTAAAATTGTATATATTTACATTTATATATATTTACATTTAAATTTTTATTCACTTGAAATTTATGTAGTGTTAGAATTGAGGTACAATTTAGCCATTGGAAAAAAGAAGAAATCTTGTCATTTGCAACAACATGGATGGAACTGGAGATCATTATGTTAAGTAAAATAAGCCAGGTGCAGAAAGACAAACATCACATGTTTTCAATTATTTGTAGGATTTAAAATCAAAACAACTGAACTTATGGACATAGAGAGTAGAAAGATGGTTACCAGAGGCTGAGAAAGATAGAGGAGCAGGGGTCAGGATAATATGGGCATGGTTAATGGGTACAAAAAATAGTTAGAAAGAATGAATACGACATTATTTGATAGCACCACAAGGTGACTATAGTCAATAATAATTTAAATGTATATTTTAAAATAACTAAAACAGTATAAATAGATTGTTTGTAGCAGAAAAGATAAATGCTTGAGAAGTTGGATACCCCATTCTTCATAATGTGTTTATTACACATTGTGTGCCTATATCAAAACATCTCATGTGCCCCATAAATATATACCCCTACTGGGTACCCCCCAGAATAAAAATAAATTTAAAAGAATTGAGGTAGAGATACAGTTCAACTTTTTTTAAGATGGCAATCCAGTTGTCACCCAAGAGACAGAGATTGGAGCTCTAGTCTACTAAAATTGTCTAGAAACCTCGGGGCAGTTTGTCAGAGAGGAGAGCTGTGCACATAAGGAGCTCTAGAAACCTGTACAGAAGACCTTTTGAGTCTTTGACCTTTTTTTTCACTTTTTACTATGTACAAATACATAGTTGTGCAGTGCATGTGCACAGAGTCCTCAAGGTGAGTAAGAACTTCAACTGAGGAGAGATATTTGAGAATAATTACCAGGGAGTCATAAAGTAAGCAATCACTAGAGCTCCCAAAGGGTTGGGAAGTGGTTGATTTTTGACCAGTAAGAATGGAGTTTTTTTTTTTTTTAACACTTTGAGAATTCAGTAGATACCTCAAAACGCCGCAATTTATGAGTTAATTTAGTCCTAGAGTAAAGGCCACCCTAGCCTCACCATAATGTATCTTAAAAATAAGCCTCAATGGAGGTTGCCGTGAGCCTAGATGGTGCCACTGCACTCCAGTCTGGGTGACAGAGCAAGACTCTGTCTCAAAAAACAAACAAACAAAACAAACAAACAAACAGAGCCTCAAAAGGGTACAGGGGATATGCAAGTAATTTAACTTTCTGCCAAAACAAACTTAATACTCCATTAACGACTAAAACCCAGACACTCAACAATATAACAACCATAATGTTTTTCATTTACAATAAAAAAAATAACAAAGAGGCAGAAAAAAATGTGATCTGAAGAAGAAAATAATTAATCAAAAGAAACTGATCCAGAAATGAAAGAGATAATGCAATTAGCAGATGTGGACTTTAAAATAGCTATTATGAATTTGTTGACTTTTTAAAGGAAAATGTAAGCATAATGAGGATGCAAATAGGGGATTTCACATAAAGCTATAAAAAGTACTGGTTGAAACTTCCAGGAACAAAGTATTCAATATCTGACTGTAAAAAACAAAACAAAACAAAACTGGCTGGATTTAATAACAGATTAAATGTAACAGAATAAAAGATAAATGCACGTCAATAGAAATCATCCAAACTAATGTCTAACAAACATTTACCTAGAAAATTCCCAAATGTTTGTATATTAAGCCACAGACTACTAAATAGCACATGGTTCAATGAAGAAATTAAAAGAGAAATTGAGGCCAAGTTTAGGAAAGGAAAGAAACAACCCACCAGTACATTCTTCCTAAAACCCCAAAATTTCTTCTTCATCTCTCTAGCCAAACTTTTTGTACATCCATTATCTCCCCAATTACGTTTATTAATTTGCACATTCAATCAGCAAAAAAAGCCTCAACAGGAGCTTATTCTATGTACCAGGTGCCTTGTTCTTTGCGATAGTGGTAGAGAAGTTTGTTTTTTTTAAAAACTGAAATTTAGGTGTACTTTAGAAACAGATCATTATCTTTATTAGTATAGAAGAAAGCATCAGCTATTTATTTCCTACGGTTACAATTTGGACAAAAGATGTAAGCTTCAAAGTTCCTAGAGTGAAATTTAATCAATAAGGAGTTTTTTTTGTTTTGTTTTGTTTTGTTTTATTCCACAGAAATCCAAGCACACTTGTCTTATATTCTTTCTGCAACCCATATTTTTCCTCTACTGGTTCCAGCATAAAGCTAATAAGACGAAGCTTGCAATTCTGAACCCCTTAAGTCCAGTGGGTTTCCACAGAGAAACATCTCTTTGTGAAAATATTCTATATTCTTTACTCAAACTAAGTCTCATGAACTGATCCCAAGGGCAACATGGGAAAGCATGTGATAAAAACTTTACATAAACCCATCGTCTCTTTAAAAATAAACATTCACTTTGGGAGGCTGAGGTGGGTGGATCTTGAGGTCAAGAGATGGAAACCATCCTGGCCAAAATGGTGAAACCCCGTCTCTACTAAAAATACAAAAATTAGCTGGGCATGGTGGTGCATGCCTGTGGTCCCAGCTACTTGGGAGGCTGAGGCAGGAGAATCACTTGAACCTGGGAGGCAGAGGTTGCAGTGAGCCGAGACTGCACCATTGCACTCCAGCCTGGGTAACAGAGCCAGACTCCATTTCAAAAAAATAAAAAATAAATAAATAAACATTCAAGGTCATTTTGTTTGTTTTGTATTTGGATAAAGCACCTTTTGTTTGTGCCTCCACTGTTTTACAATTACATCTTGGATTCGTCTATTTGTGCCACTTCCACAGACAAGTCCATGTGCAGAAGTTTGTCTCAGTAACAACAGCTTGTGGGAGAGATACAGGTAGACAATATTAATTCAACTTTGCAGTTTACATAACTGTAGTGTTTGCAGTTCACATACATTTGTTCATATGGTCCTCTGATCAACCTTGTGAAGAATCTATTATCTTTTTATTTCACAGTGAAGCAAAAAGTGGCCTGGAAATACTAAATGATTCCCTTCAATGTTATTGGTAGCAAGTGCCAGAGCCTGATCTTGAGTCAAAAAACAGCTGGCATGAAGTTTCTTGCTCTTTTCTTCTACAGTTCACATAGGTTCTGATCTCTCTAAAATGCAAGAAGCTAGCATCTATTTTGAAATGCTTTATACTCATGAAAATGTGGGTGATAAAAATGTAACTTTATCTGGCCTAAGTTCAACATTAAACAATGTATTTTGTAACTATATGAAGCTTACCTTCAAGTTTTAGAACTTTCTTTTATCTAAACTCTCAAACTATCCACATCCAACTTGGACTGTTGTGTTTTTTATTAAAGAAACATTATTATTTTTTACAGGATTAAGACTCTGCCTTCTTCATGAGCATGAATTCAGACTAAAGTAATAATTTTTTTAAAAAATAGTAAATTTATATTCTAAGTTTTTACTTATTTGAATTCTGGTTTTAAATTTTCTCAAATTTAATTTTTGAAATAACACTGGGAAGTTCTCCCAATAACCTTACATTCAGGGTTGCTCAAGACAACATAATCATGGATACATGTCATTATGGTTATTAATAACATCACCATCATCATTATAATTACGATAGCTAAGCATTTATTGAACACTTTCTCCTTCTCATGCGTATTATCTCATATGATCTTCACAACAGTTTAATGAGAAGTTATTCCCATTATTTCCATATGTAAAATGAGAAAACTAAGGCTCAGAGAGTTTAAATAATGTGTCCCAGGTAACATAGCCCCTAGGGTTGGAGGCAGAGTTAGGGCCCAAGCAATTTTTTGCGAAAGCATATGAGTTTGCCCCCATACTACACTGCTTCTTTTCTATGATACCTGATCTTTTACCTCAGAGTACTTCTACTTTTTTAACTTCAAACCTCTTTGGTTTTTGCCAGCATCATTTAGGCTTTTGCAATACCAATAAAAAAATAATTGTATATTCTTAGTCTTACATGTATTACTCCCTTAGAGTTGCATAACACAGTTTGAGAAATCTTGTGTAACCTCCACTCTTGTTTCACTTGTAATTACAATTACAATGATTTTAAGTTGAAAGAAAAGCTGTATTTGGGTTTGATAAGATAAACATATATATATGCATATAATTTAAATAGATATTTGACACTCTCTATACGCAATTGTGGCACCTTGTTGAACAGTTTAAGTATATTGATTTTGTATCTGGTGCTGGAGCTTGAAGTCTGCAGAATAGGCAGTTGGGAAGGGGATAAATGTGAAGTGGGAAATAAAAAGAATAAGCCAGATAATATGAAGATGGACTGGATTTCCTGTTGGTCTCTCACTGCTTCTAAATTCAGTGATGTTGGTGCCATGCGGAAGATGGTATTTTTCATCAAGGAGTTAAAAACATCTGACCCAAGAGCCAGAGAACCTTGAGGATCCATGGGGAGGAGAAACACCTGAAGGCCTGTTCCTGCCTCCATGCCAAAATGATCAGTCATAAGTGACGACATGTGTGAACGTGGTGCCCCTGCACCAACCTTCCAAGTATAAAAGTAATTTGACTGCTATTTCATTTCTGCCTTCCAAATCTCACACAAAATGACTCTTGTGACCCTTGATAACTCAGAGCTATACAGGGAATGAAATTCTGAGAAACATAATTCCAACTTAGCAGCTAAGTTGACAATACAGCTCCACTACATATGCTACCCATAGTATAGCAAAACCCACTGAGAATTAGAACCTAGGTCTCTGTTGACACTGAGCACACTCTGAAACTCTGAAATTATGGTTATGAGAGATTGCAAGTTACCTTATTATTGAAGTCAAATTGTCTGTTCTTGCAATTGAATGCATCCTGATATAATAATCAGCACATTATTAGGAACATCCACTCTCACAAAGTAGAATGTAAGAGAATGAAACACAGGGAAAGGAGATTTTTGTTTATGAGGAATGATGGAAGACGGAAGATAAATTAGCAAAAATCGACAATATGGAGGCTTTTTTGAAAGCTCTGAAATATCAGTAGTTGAGATAGGGAACCATTAAGGAGAAGTCATATATTTTATGTTTTGGCAGGAAGTCAACCCAGTTGGCAGAGAAGGAATGTTTTTAATTGTCTCCCTCATGCACATTTGTTTCAGAACAAATATCCTGTCAATATTATGTTTTTGATTTTTAAAATGCACTTCTCTAGTTCATATTGTAAAACTAGGAAAGAAGCATTAAACATGCATTTTATGGATGGATTCCCGGGGGGAAGTACACACCACACTCAAATCCACTTTAGTGACGTTACATGACACAAGCTGAAGTATTTTACTAAATTAAAATAAAAACAAGGGGCTTTCCTCTTCACTAAATATACTAGAGTGCATGACAATATTCTTTACTACATAAACTTGTCATTTTTCAATATGTGTCTTCTTATTTTCTATCATCACTAAAGCTAAGCTCTGGTTTGAAACTCAGATTCCTATGCCTAACAGTAAATTAATACTTTTTAAACACACAAAAAAACCAGAATCCTGCTACACACTGAAGGCAAAACACAACAGTGTTACACTCTGTAAAATCATCAATGTAAAATCAGGTACACTAAATCTTGAGTATTCATTTGCCTATGTAGTTTAACAACCAATCTTGAACAATTTTTATGGAACTATTTTGTTTATAGGATAAACTCCAAATTCCTTAGAGATACTTTTTGAGACATGGCTTAGTACCCCTTTCAAACATCCCTAAAACACAGTTTTTTCCAACTACCCTATCTCCTTTGAACACGAGCATGACGCTTATCTTTCTCATTTCATTCTTTTGGCAGAGGATATACCTCTCCTCCACCTAGGAAATGCCAGCTTAGATACTGCTTCCTCTGGGAAGAGAGGTTCTGCATCAATTACCCAAGCAGAATCAATTCTGTTTTCTCTTTTATCTATACTTACGTAGCACTTTGTATCTACCTTGGTTTTGGTATGTAACAGACTCACATTTTCATTGATTGTTTACGTATTTCTTCTCTTGCTAAACTGCAATCTGAACCATTTGAAATCATAGTCATCTTTTCAGAAGTATTTACTAAACTCTCAAGATTTGAAAATGAATATGACATTGTAACAAATCTATGGATAAGGTGTGATGGAGACCTCAAAGGTTGAAACATTATTATTGGTTTTCACCTGGAAGAATGAGAGCACTCTAGATATTACATGGATTTTGAAGAATGAAGAAGAGTGCCCCTCACAGACATATGGGAAAGGTGAAAATTTAGGCCACATGACCAGGCAAAGAAAACAGCTTTGGCAACCATATAATTTTCATCCTCCTTTCTGTAGCATCTCACACAATACCTGGCACAAGTTAATATCTCAACAGATTTTTTTAATGAGTATATAAAGCAACAAAGAAAATCTCAGCAAATTCCCAAAGGTAAAATATCTTACCGATCACATTCTCTAACCAATATCCAGTAAATCGAGAAGTTACACAAAATTATAGCATTTGAATGACCAACAAGATATATTTAACGCACACACACATACACACTTAGAAATTAACAATAA
Organism: Homo sapiens; assembly: GCF_000001405.40. Classification (NCBI taxonomy): domain Eukaryota; kingdom Metazoa; phylum Chordata; class Mammalia; order Primates; family Hominidae; genus Homo; species Homo sapiens. Next base: position 6,104,456 of record NC_000024.10, read on the forward strand.
TTATTTTAAGCTACTCTTGGTTAAAGAAGTAACCAAAGTGAATATGAAGATAGTAAGGAAAGAAAAAGAGAAAGATATAAGCTAGCCAAATATAAAGTTAGCATACAGGAAATAGCTTTCAATTTACCTATAGTTACCAACCAGAAAATTCACTGCAATACAAAATCCCGTTTACATTAGAAAGAAATCCATATTCTGATATTCGCTGCTCAGCTAGTTCCCACTTTCTTCTGCTAGAGAGCACTTGACGGAAGGTGCTCTAAAAAATTTGGTGCCTTAGTATTAGCTCCTGCTAAAGCAACTATGTTGCAACCACCATTTAGAAATTTTCAGACACAATTGGCATTTCAACCTGCAGAGTTTCAAATCTCGACTTTTTGTTAAATTACACATAAGCATCAGCAAGAGATTTTCCTTTAACAGATCTATCTTTCCTTCCTTCCTTCTTTTTTTTCTTCAGTCTCTCTCTGTCACCCCAGGCTGGAGTGTGGTGGTGCCATCTCGGCTCACTGCAACCTCCACCTCCCAATTTCAAGCGATTATCCTGCCTCAGCCTCCCAAGTAGCTGGGACTACGGCCCCACGCCACCATACCCAGCTAATTTTTGTATTTTTAGTAGAGATGGGCTTTCACCATATTAGCCAGGCTGGTCTCAAACTCCTGACCTCATGATCCACTTGCCTTGGCCTCCCAAAGTGCTGGGACTACAGGCATGAGCCACTGCCATCCAGCTTCTTTCTTAACAGAGCTACTTGAGTGCCTAGTTCTAGTGCGAGTTCAACTATGTCAGGCAAGAACTTTGCTAAAAATAGCAAGAAAGAGGCTAGCATACGTAAACATCATGAATTTTTCTTACCATCTCCTTTAATACTACAATGTCAGTTGACACATAGGTCTATTTTCTAACGTAAAGCAGGCAATTATTTAACTAAATGCTTTGTCACTGTCTAACAAGGCTTTCCAGCCTGCTATCTGTATCTGAAATATTAATATGCAGCTCCAGATTTCTTCCATTTAGCAAATTCTATAATTAGGTTCTATTAATTTCAGCATCACACTTACAAGTATAAAATCTGTATCAGACAGAATTGACTCATGCATATAAAGGTATATATATATAAAATACGTATGTGTATCTATAAACTGAAATTGCATCTCATTACTTTGATTTGCATATATATAAAATAACAGTGGCTTAAATAATTTTTTTTTTCTTTCTCAATTAAGAACTCAGGCTGCCCTTGGCTGATATTGTATCCGGAATTGGTTCCTTCCGGTGGGTTCTTGGTCTCACTCACTTCAAGAATGAAGCCCACTGTGAATGTTACAGTTCTTAAAGATGGTGTGTCTGGAGTTTGTTCCTTCAGATGTTCAGATGCATCCAGAGTTTCTTCCTTCCAGTGGGTTCCTGGTCTAGCTGACTTCAGTAGTGAAGTGGCAGACCTTCCCAGTTAGTGTTACAGCTCTTAAAGGTGGCGCCTCTGGAGTTGTTTGTTCTTCCCAGTACGTTCCTGGTCTCACTGACTTCAGGAATGAAGCCCCAGACTCTTGCAGACCCTTGCTGTGAGTGTTACAGCTCATAAAGGTAGTGCGGACCCAAAGAGCAAGCAGCAGCAAGATTTATGGTGAAGAGCGAAAGAACAAACAAACCACTTCATTTAAGGGGACCAGAGTGGATTGCAGCTGCTGGCGCCACTGACCAGCTTTTATTCCCTTATTTTGCCCCGCCCAAGACCTGCTGATTGGTCCATTTTACAGAGCACTAATTGGTCCATTTTACAGAGTGCTGATTGGTCCATTTTTACAGAGTGCTGATTGGTGCGTTTACAAACCTTTAGCTAGACACAGAGCGCTATCTAGTGCATTTTTACAGAGTGCTGATTGGTGCGTTTACAAACCTTTAGCTAGACACAGAGTGCTGATTGGTGCGTGTATACCGAGTGCTGATTGGTGCATTTACAAACCTCTAGCTAGACAGAAAAGTTCTCCAAGTCTCCACTTGACCCAGGAAGTCCAGCTGGCCTCACTTCTCAATATGGTGGCTTCACTCCTGCTACCATTCTACTCTACTAACTTTAAATCTAGCGCTGATCCTCCAGAATGTTTCATATTCTCAAGTGACTGCAGGAGATGCAGTTATCACATGGACTTTCAAGACAGATAAAAGGAAGTAGGAAAAGAAAGGGTGAAAAATATATATATATGTATGAGCAAAGTCAGTGCTTTTTGAGGAGATTTTAAAGAAACCCCAACCAATGACTTCCACTTATTTATCATTGGCCATCCCTAGATGCAAGAGGGATTGGATAAAATAATCCTTTGCTCTTCCTTATATTCTTCTGGAATATAATCAGGATTCTGTGTATTTACATATAAAAATGAATATCAAATAGTCCCTGATATGGCTTGGATTTGTGTCCCCGTCCATATCTCATGTCAAATTGTAATCTCCAGTGTTAGAGGAGGGGCCTGCTGGGAGGTGACCGGATCGTGGGGGCATATTTCCCTCTTGCTATTGTTGTGATAGTAAGTTCTCATGAGATCTGGTTGTTTAAAAGTGTGTAGCTCCTCCCCCTTTGCTCTCTCTTTCTCCTGGCCCAGCCACGTAGGATGTATCTGCTTCCCCTATGCCTTCTGTCATGACTATAAGTTTACTGAGGCCTCCCCAGCCATGCTTCCTGTACAACCTGTGGAACTGTGAGCCAATTAAACTTTTTTTCCCTTATAAATTACTTAGTCTCAGGTAGTTCTTTATAGCAATGTGAGAATGGACCAATACAGTCCCAATTTCGCAGGCTTTACAACAGAGCCTACTTTCCAGAATTCAAAAAAGTTAATTGGAGATAAAGATCTGAACTTTATTTAAAAGTCTATACAATTATTAGGACAATATTTAGGATAAATCTTTACAGCTTTGTGAGATATAAAAGGGATGATGGGCAAGGTTAATTGCATAAAATTTAAATGAACAACACAAAATAATCTGTATGTCAAAAGATACTATACACAAATACTTGAAGAATTTTTAGATAACATCTAAAATTTAGATAATGGTCTAAAAATCAACAAGCATTTCAGATAAGAGAAAACACAAATGGCCGGTAAACATGAAAGATACTCAACCATGCAGTAATTAGGGGAGTGCCAATCAAAGTAATGAGATACAATTTCAAGTCTATCATTTAGAAATAATTAAAATAATAAAAAAACAATTTGAAAGTTAATATCAAAGTCCAGTATGGCATGAACTAACATGCACTCTTACACATGCTACCTTTCTGGAACATAATTCAGTATCTATCAGAATTCTAAATGCACACACTCACTGGGCACACAATTTCAATTATAGATAGCACTTGTAAATGCATACTTGTGCATATATGAAAATATATCTGTATAAGGAAAGGTCAAAACAGCATTGCTTAATTCAGCAGAAATATGAAAACTCCTTACATGTTTATCGACAAGAAAAAAGAAAAATGATAATATTATTTATTAAATAAATAATAAATTTTATTTATTAGTTAATTAAAAAAAGAAAAAAGAAAAAACATTATTTTATAATCTGCAATGCTTAAAATAAAGAAAATGTATTGTATGTACTGACATAAGCATAATTTGAAGTCAATTTGGTAAGAAATAACATCTTTACTATGTTGAGACTGCCAATTCATTAATCAGATATGTTTCTTCATTTATTTAGATCTTATTTTGTTAATTGGCCTTTAATAATTTTTAGCATATGGTTTTTAACATGTTAAGTTTTGTATCTAAATATGTTATATTTTGGAGAGATTGCAAATGGTATTATGTCTTATATTTTTGTTTCCACAAGTTCACTGTTAGTATACAAGTATGGGATTGATTTTTGTGTATTGATCATGTATCCTGCAACCTTGAGGAACTCACTTATTAGTTCCAGGAGATTTGTTTGTTTTTATTGCTTATTTCTTCTGATTTTCTATGTAAATAATAATATCACATGCAGACAGGAACAACTTTATCTCTCTTTGTAATCTACATGATTTTAATTTTCTTTTCTTGACTCATTGAAGTAGCTAGAACTCCCAGGACTATGTTGAATAAGAGTGATGAGAATAAGCAATTTTACCTTTGTTCCTGATGAACTTAAGGCAAAAGCATTCAGAATGTCAGCATTAAGAATAATGTTAGCTTTAGTCACACTGTCTCTCTCTCTCTCTCTCTCTCTATATATATATACAGAGTTGTCTCTTTTCTCTCACTCTCTCTCTCTATATATATACACACAGATATATATATATATCTGTGTGTGTGAGTGTGTGTGTGTGTGTAAAATTGTATACTTATATCAAGTATAAGTTTTTCTCCTCTCCTGATTTGCTGAGTTTGGGTGTTGGATTTTGTCAAATCCTTTTTTCTTCATCAATTAATATGATCATATAATTTGTCCTTGCTAGCCTTTTGATAGGTTGAACTATTTTGATTGAAACACAACTGATATCATTCACAGTGACAGCTTTGCGTATCTGGAATAAAGCTCATGTTGTCATGGCATATTCATCTTTGTATACATTGCTGGGTTTATTTTTATATGTATATATATATATATATTTAGAAATTTTCAACCTGAATTTTAACTAATTCCATCTTTTAAATGTTCCTGAACTATTCATATTTTCTACCTAATCTCGGTTAAGTTCTAGTAGTTTGTGATTTTTAAGGAAGAGGATCTATTTCTTCTAAGATGTTAATTTATGACCATGGAGTTTTCATAGTGCTCCATCTATTATTCTTTTAATGATTATACAATCTCTAGTAAAAGCTCCTACTAAATTCATGATATTGGTGATTTATATCTCATTTATATTTTATCAGGCTTGTGAGACATTAATTTTTATTTATTTTGTCAAAGACACACATTTTATTTTATTGATTTTCTCTATTGCTTTCCTTCTTTCAGATTTACTGATAACTGTGTTTATCTTTAATATAGCCATCCCCTTGCTTGATTTAATTTGATTTTTCTCCTTAATAAGAACTTAAGTTATTAATTTAAGACATTTTCTTGTTGTTGATGAAAGAATTCAATGCTATAATTTTTTATCTCTACACTACTTTAGCACTATTCACATATTTTGATGTTGTATTTTCAATAATTATGTTAAATGTAAGTGGACTAAACACTCCTGCCATAATTTAGTAAAGGGGAAAATGGATTTAAAAACTGTATCCTCAGTATAGAGACAGTAACAAGCAATAGGGAAAAAACTCCCTGTTCAATAAATGGTGCTGGAATAACTGGCTAGCCAAATGCTGACGAATAAAATAGGACCCCTACCTTTCAACATTTCAAACAATAACTCAAGATGGATTAAAAATTTAAACTTGAGACCTGAAAATATAAAAATCTTAAAAGAAAACTTGTGAAATTCCATTCCAGGCATCAGCCTTGGCAAATAATTTTTGGCTAAGTTCCCAAAAAACAATCACAACAAAAACAAAATTGACAAGTGGGACCTAAGTAAACTAAATAGCTTCTGAACAGCAAAAGAAACTGCCAATAGAGTAAACAGACTACCTACAGAATGGGATAAAAAAAAATTGCAAACTATGCATCTGACAAAGGTCTAATATTCAGCATTTATATGGAAATTATACAAATTTTCAAGAAAAAACAAACAACCCCTTTAAAAAGTCGGAAAATGGCATGAACAGATATTTTTCAAAATAAGATATACATGTGGCCAACAAGCCTATTAAAAATGCTCAGGATCACTAATAATTGCAGAAATGCAAATCAAAAGCACACGGAGATAGCATCTCACACCATTCAGAACAGCCATTATTAAATTAACAAAATATACCAGACGATGGTGAGGTTGTGGAAAAAAAAGAGCACTTCCACACTGCTTCGGTGGGAATGTAAATTAGATCAGCTGCTGAGGAAAGCAGTTTGAAGATTTCTCAAAGAACTTCCAACATTGCCATTCAACCCAGCATTCCCATTACTGGGTATATACACAAAAGAAAGTAAATCATTCTAACAAAAATACACACGCACTTGTGTGTCAACTGCAGCATTATTCACAATAGCAAAGACGTGGAATTACCCTACAGGCCCATCAATACTGGACTGGATAAAGAAAATGTGGTACCTATACATCATGAGATGCCACACAGCTATATAAAAGAAGAAAATTATATCCTTGTCAGCAACATGGATAAGGTTGGAAGTCATTATTCTAAGCAAATTAACACAGGAAAAAAACCCAAATACTGTACATTCTCACTTACAAGTTGGAGCTAAACTTTGCATACACATGGACATAAAGATGGGTACAATAGACAGTGGGCACTGGGGACTACTAGAGAAGGGAGAGTTTTAGGGAGGAGAGGGCTGTAAAATTAACTATAGGGTGCAACGCTCACTACCTGGGTAACTGGGCCATTTGTATACCAAACCTCAGCAACATGCAATTTACTCATGTAACAAACCTGTACATGAACCCCCTGAACATATAATAAAAGTTGAGTAAAATAAATAAATAAAGTTCTCAAGTCAGGAACTCAAATTTTAGCCAGGTGCATGGCTCAGGTCTGCAACCCCAGAACTTTGGGAGGCTGAGGAAGGTGGATCACTTGAGCTCTGGAGTTTGAGACCACCTGGGCAAGATGGGAAAATCCCATCTTTACTAAATAACACAAAAATTAGCCATGGGAGGCAGAGTACCCCTGTATATAAAATATGTGATCATACATTACTTTTTTCTTCCTTCTTTCTGTCGTTATTGTCACAAATTACATCGTAATATATTGTTTAATATTAAGTATTGATCTATAATTATTGTTTTGTGCAATTCTTTTTTTAAAACATGGGGTAAAAATACAAGTTATAAGTAAAAAACAAATGTATACTATCTTTTTTATTTATTTATGTAGTTATCATTACTGATGCTCATATCTTCAAGTGAATTTGAGTTACTGTCTAGTATCTTTTCATTTCTGCCTTGATATGGTTTGGTTGTGTCCCCACCCAAATCTCATATTGAATTGTAACTCCCATAATTCCCACATGTTGTGGGAGGAACCCTGTCAGAGGTGATTGAATTATGGGGACAGATCTTTTCTGCACTGTTCTTATGATGGTGAATGGTCTCACAAGAATTGATGGTTTTAAAAATGGGAGTTTCCCCACACAAGCTCTCTCTTTGCCTGCTGCCATCCATGTAAGACATGATTTACTTCTCCTTGCTTTCCACCATTTGTGAGGCCTCCTGAGCCACGTGGAACTGCAAGTCCATTAAACCTCTTTCTTTTGTAAATTGCCTGGTATTTGGTATGTCTTTATCAGCAGCACAAAAATGGACTAATACAGTAAATTGATACCAGTAGAGTGGGGCATTGCTGAAAATATACCCAAAAATGTGGAAGTGACTTTGGAACTGGGTAATGGGCACAGATCGGGACGGTTTGGAGGGCTCAGAAGAAGACAGGAAAATGTGGGAAAGCTTGGAACTCCCTAGAGACTTGTTGAATAGCTTTGACCAAAATGCTAATAGTGATATGAACAATAAGGTTCAGGCTGAGGTGGTCTCAGATAGAAATGAGAAACTTATTGGGAATTGGAACAAAGGTGACTCTTGTTATGTTTTAGCAAAGAGATTGGCAACATTTGCCCCTGCCCTAGAGATGTGTGGGACTCTAAACTTCAGAGACATGATTTAGGGTAACTGGTGGAAGAAATTTCTAAGCAGCAAAGCTTTCAAGAGGTGACTCAGGTGCTGTTAAAGGCATTCAATTTTATAAGGGAAGCAGAGGATAAAAGTTCAGAAAATTTGGAGCCTGACAATGCGATAGAAGAGAAAAACCCATTTTCTGAGGAGAAATTCAAGCGGGCTGCAGAAATTTGCGAAAGTAATGAGGAGCCAAATGTTAATCCCCAAGACAACAGGGAAAATGTCTCCAGGGCATGTCACAGTTCTTCGTGACAGCCTGTCCCATTACAGGCCTGTAGGCCTAGGAGGAAAAAGTGGTTTCATTGGCTGGGCCCAGGGTCCCCATGCTGTGTGCAGCCTATGGACTTGGTACCCTGCATCCCAGCCACTCCAGCCATGGCTGAAAGGGGCCAACATAGAGCTTGGACTGTGGCTTCAGAAGGTGCAAACCCCAAGCCTTGGCAGCTTCCACCTGGTGTTGAGCCTGTGAGTGCACAGAAGTCAAGAGCTGAGGTTTAGGAACCTCCTTCTAGATTTCAGAAGATGTAAGAAAATGCCTGGATGAACAGGCTGAAGTTTCCTCTAGAGTTGGGGCTCTCATGGAGAACCTCTGCTAAGGCAGTGCAGAAGGGAAATGTGGGGTCAGATTCCCCACACAGGGTCCCTACTGTGGCTCCACCTAGTGGAGCTGTGAGCAAAGGGCCACAGTCCTCCAGAACCCAGAATTGTAGATCCACTGACAGCTTGCACAGTGTGGCTGGAAAAGCTGCATACACTCAACACCAGCCCATGAAAACAGCCAGGAGGGAGGCTGTACCCTGTAAAGCCACAGGGGTGGAGCTGCCCAAGACCATGGGAACCCACCTCTTGCATGCAAGACATGGAATCAAAAGAGATAATTTTGGAGCTTTAAGATTTGACTGCCCTGGTGGATTTCAGACTTTTATGGGGCCTGTAGCCCCTTTGTTTTGGCCAATTTCTCCCGTTTGGAAAGGCTGCATTTACCCAATGCCTGTACCCCCATTGTAGCTAGGAAGTAACTAACCTGGACTGTGGACTTTTGAGTTAAAGCTGAAATGATTTAAGATTTTGGGAGACTGTTGGGAAGGCATGACTGGTTTTGAAATTTGAGACATGAGATTTGGGAGGCCAGGGGCTGAATGATATGGTTTGGCTGTGTCTCCACCCAAATCTCATTTTGAATCGTAACTTCCACAATTCCACCTGTTGTTGGAGAAACCCGGTGGGAGGTGATTGAATTATGGGAGCAGGTCTTTCCTGCACTGTTCTCATGATAGTGAGTGAGTCTCCTGAGATCTGAAAGTTTTAAAAATAAGAGTTTCCCTGCCAAGCTCTCTCTTTGCCTGCTGCCATCCATGTAAAACATAACTTACTCCTTGACTTCTGCCATGATTGTGAGGGCACCCCAGCTACATGAAACTGTAAGTTCATTAAACTTCTTTCTTTTGTAAATTGCCCAGTCTCAAGTACGTCTTTATCAGCAGCATGAAAATGGACTGATATAAGCCTGAAGAACTACCATTAGTATTTCTTGTAGTCTAGACTGGCTAGTTGTGGATGTTGTTCACTTTTATCTAAGAATATTTCAATTTCTCCTTTATTTTTTTCAAATCAAAACTTTTGTTTGACAGGCCTTTCTCTTAGTACTTTGAATATATCATCCCACTAACTTCTGACTTTATGATTTCTGATAAGGCAGTTGTTAATATCATTTAGGATTACTTTTAGATAATATGTTGCCTATCTTTTGCTCCTTTCAAAATTTTCTGCTTGTCCTTCAACAGCTTGATTATAATTATGTGTCTAGGTGTGTATCTCTTGGGAGACATTCTGACAATTCCTCAAAATGTTAAACATAGGTTACTATATGACCCAACAATTTCACACTTTGCTATATACTCAAGAGAATTTCAAACATATATTTACATATTAACTTGTAAACAAACATTCACAACATCATTATTCATAATAGCTACCATATGGGGAATGACCCAAAAGTCCATCAGATGCTAAAAGGTTAACCAAAATGTGGTATATTCATAAAATTGAATATTGTTTGGCAATAAAATCTATGAATTACTGTTATATGCTGCAACATTGATGAATCTTAGAAACATGCTAAGTGAAAGCAGTTAGACACAATAGGGCATGAATCGCATGAATCTATTTATATAAGTTATCCAGAATAAGTTAATCCATACAGACAGAAAGGGAATTAGTTGTTGCCAGGGCCTTGCAGGAGGGAAGAACAAGGAGTGATTGCTAATAGATACAGAATGACTAAAATACTCTAAAAATTTATTGTAGTGATGGTTTCACAACCATCACAGTTTATTTGTATATATATTAGGATGGTACAAAAGTAATTGTGGTTTTTCCATTAAAAGTAATGGCAAAAACCACAATTGCTTTTGCATCAACCTAACCTAATACTAAACACCAGTGAATTGTACAATATAAAAGGGTTAATTTTAGGGTTAATTGTATGTCTTGTTAATTATATCTCAATAAAGCTAGTATAAAAAAAGAAATGGAGTGCTAATACTAAAAATGAATAAATAAGTCAATAATTGACAGTCAAAAATAGTGTGATCTCTTTCAACTTTTATAGCCATCATCATTAGTAGTTGTAATAGTAGTGATAGCAGTAGCATTTCACTGTTATTGACTGGAGTATTTGCTCTTGGAGATATAAATTTATTTATATCAGAGTGCAGGAGAGTAAGATTGCAACCATTTCTAACAAAGAATAATACTAGATGAAGACGGATGTTACACTAAGCTCAGGGCATACAATGCAAATGCACAGAGCATAATTATTTTTATTTTAGAAAACTTCCAGTTTAAATTTACTTTCTATATTAATTTGAATATCTATATGACTCTTTAATAAGTACAGTATTAAATTTATTTTTATTCTGATATTATTGTGTTAATAAGACCCTTTTTGGAAATAAATAATGCATCATTTAGAAGGAAAATCTGTATGTGTTATAGAATTATGAAGCGACAATATCTCCAGGTGAGAAAACTGTGTAGAGATAAAGAAGAAAACGTAAGAAATATAAACATGGTAAGTAAACAGAGCTGAGTTTTTCAAAATTAGTCAATCTTTTTAATCTAATCAAAAATATTAAAATATGTATCACGTGATGATTCAATTTAAAATGCACACTCAGAAGCTATCAACTTTTTGCCTACTTTCTTTATGGCTAGGAATGTTAGAATTGTTATAGTTACCAAACAAAAACATTTCTAAAACAAATTCTACAATTACTTTGAAAAAATAATAAAGAAAGCAAATGCTATGTAATTTTATGTGCTTGAATTTGAAAATAAACTGTATAAAATACCAGACAAAGAGATTTGTGGTAGTAAGCTGACAAGAGTAACTAGTGAGTTTCTGCATTTTTCAAATGCTTGAAGTAAATACATCTATAGGCTGAATGTCTGTGTCTCTGCTCCCAAATTTATGTTGAAATCCTAACCCACAATGTGATAGTATTAGGAGTTATGGCCTTTTGTAGGTGATTAGCTTATGACATCAGATCTCTCATGAATTGCATTAGTGTCCTTATAAAAGAAAGCTTAGAGAGCTTCCTTCTCCCTTGCCTCCCCAATTAAGTGAAGTCACACTGAGAAGACAGCTGTCTCTGAATCAGGAAGCAGGCCCTAACCAGACATTAAATTTGATAGTGCCTTGATCTTGGACCTCTCAGTCTCCAAAACTGTGAGCAATAAATTTCTGTTGTTTCTAAGCCACCAAGTCTATAATATTTTGTAATAGTTGCCCAAATGGAATGAGACAATATCATATAGCTAAAAGCTTCCATAAAGAGTTCACAGCAAAACGAAAAAGTAACCGTCCCTATGTGATTGATTTAAAAACAAAAAACAAATTTTTGTATAAATTATGAAAGCTAAATTGTTCTATATTAAATAATTCTATAAGATGCTATTCTATAAAACTTGTATTTAGTCTAATGATGTCTTTAAGGAAATTAGTCATTATATTACTTGTAGCCTGATTCATGAGGATTTTCCATATAAATTTCTTCCTAGTCTTAACATCAATAATATTTGTGCATTTTTCTGAGCCAGTCTCCTGTTTTCATCTGATAGGCCCTATTAACTATGTTTTGGTTTCTCTAGTATGTGTATGGATTTAATGATATGTATTTTTCATACTAGCTTCATTCTCAGATATGTTTTATATTCTACTATTGTTATTTTTTTCTTTGTCATATAATTTAAAATATTTCTCTACTTTCAAATTTTCTTGTAAGTAGCCTTACATTCATGTTGGTGCAGGATGAAAAATAAATATTAGGTGTCAATTGACTATTAGACACTTGTTAGGTGTCTCAAAATCAACTGAATTCATAATGTCCAAAACTGAACTTATATCAATTTCTTTGCAATGCATATATAGTACAGGAATATCTTATTTTATTGCACTTCACTTTATTGTGCCTTGCGGATATCGTGTTTTTTCTTTTTTACAAATGGGAGGTTTGTAACAATGCTGTGTTGAGCAAGTCTATTAGTACTATTTGTTCAATAGCAAGTGTTCACATAGTATCTATGTATCATATTTTTGTTATTCTAACAATATCTCAAAGTTCATTATTATTATTATTATACCTGTTATGGTGATTTTTAATCAGCAGTCTTTGATGTTACCATTGTAAGTGTATGGGATGATGAATCACTCCCATATAAGAAAGAAAATGTAATTGATCAATTTTGTAGATGTTTTGACTGCTCCAACTACCAGCCATTCCACATCTCTCTGCTTCTCCTTGGGTCTCCCCCTTTACTGAGACATAGTGCTATTAAAACTGGGCTAGCTAATAACCCTATAATGGCCTCTAAGTGTTCAAGTGAAATGAAGAGAAACAAATCTCTCACTTTAACTCAAAAGCTAGAAATGATGAAGCTTAGTGAGGAAGTCATGTCTAAAGCCAAAACAGGTTAAAAGCTAGGCCTCTGTGCCAGTTAGTCAAGTTGTGGAGGCAAAGAAAAATTATTTGAAAAAAATTAAAAATGCTGTTCCAGTGAACACACAAATGATAAACAAGCAAGACACCCTTTTGCTGATATAGAGAAAATTTTAGTGGTCTGGATATGAGATCAAATCACATAGTATTTTCTTAAGCTAAAGCCTAATTCAGAGCAAGGCTCAAACTCTCTTCAATTCTCTGACGGCTGACAGAAGTGAGGGAGCTGCAGACAGAAAATTTGAATCTAGCTGGGGTTGGTTCATGAGGTTTAAGGAAATAAGCCATCTGCATAATATAGAAGTGCAAGGTGAAGTAAATGCTAATGGAGAAGCTGCAGCAATTTATCCAGAAGATCTAGCTAAGATAATTGATGAAGGTGTCTACACTAAATAACAGATTTTTAGTGTAGATTAAAAAACCATATATTGGAAGAAAATGTCATCAAGGGCTTTCATAGTTAGAGAGAAGTCAATGGTTGTCTTCAAAGCTTCAAAGGACAAGCTGACTTTCTGTTAGGGACTAATGCATTTGGTGGCTAACTTGAAGCCAGTGTTCATTAACTATTCTGAAAATCCAAAGGCCCTTACAAATTATGCAAAATGCACTCTGCCTCTGCTCTATAAATGAAACAACACAGCCTTGATGAGAGCACATCTGTCTTCAGCATGGTTTACTAAATATTTTAAGCTCACTGTTGAGACCTACTGCTCAGGAAAAAAAAAAAATCCAAAATGTTACTGCTCATTGAAAATGCAGCTAGTCATTTCAGAGCTCTGATGGAGATGTACATGATCATTAATGTCCTTTTGATACTTGCTAACACAACATCCATTCTATAGCACATGGCTAAAAGAGTCATTGGGACTTTCAATTCTTATTATTTGATAAATATATTTTCTAATGCTATAGCTACCATAGATAGTGATTTCTCTGATGCATCTGGGAAAAGTAAATCGAGAACCTTCGGGAAAAAACTTGCCATTAAAGATGCCCTTAAAAATATTTGTAATTCATGAAAGGAGCTTAAATTATTAATATTTACAGGAGTTTGAGAGACATTGGTTCCAATTTTCATGGATAACTTTTAGTGGTTCAAGACTTCAGTGGGGGAAGTAATTGCAGATATTGTAGAAATAGCAAAAATACTATAATTGGAAGTGGAGCCTGAAGATGTGACTGAATTATTACAATCTCATAATGAAAATTGAAAAGATGAGAAGTCATTTCTCATGAATGAGCAAAGAACATAGTTTTATAAGATGAAATCTACTCCTGGTGAAGATGTCGAGGACTTTGCTGAAATGACAAGAACGGATTCAGATTATTTCATAAATGAAGTTGATAAACCAGAGACAAGGTTTGAGAGAATTGACTCCAGTTTTTTTTTTTTTTTTTTTTTTTTTTTTAAGGTTAAGAGGTATATGCTTGTTGGCCACATGCATGTCTTCTTTTGAAAAGTGTCTATGTTCTTTGCCCACTTTTTAATGGGATTTGTTTTCACTTGTAAATTTGTGTAATTTCCTTATAGATGTTGGATATCAGACCTTTGTCAGATATCCAACAAATGTTTAGCTTGCAAATGTTTTCCCATTCTATATATTGTCTGTTTACCCTGTTGATAGTTTCTTTTGTTGTGCAGAAGCTCTGCAGTTTAATTAGATCCCAGTTGTCAATTTTATTTTTGTTGCAATTACTTTTGGCTACTTTGTCATAAAATCTTTTCCAGTCCTTATGTTCAGTATGTTACCACCTAGGTTGTTGTCCAGAGTTTTTACAGTTATGGGTTTTACATTTAAGTGTTTAATCCATGTAGAATTGATTTTGTATATGGTGTAAAGAAGGGGTCCAGTTTCAATTCTCTGCATATGGTTAGCCAGTTATCCCAGCACCATTTACTGAATGAAGAGTCCTTTCCCTACTGCTTGTTTTTTGTCGGTTTTGTCAAAAATTATACGGTTGTAAGCATGTGGCCTTATTTCTGGGCTATCTATTCTGTTCTATTGGTCCATGTGTCCTTTTTTTTTTTTGCACCAGTACCGTGTTGATTTTGATTACTGTAACCCTGTAGTATAGTTTTGATATGGACAGGAGGGAGGGAAATGCTGAGAAGAGGGCAGTTCCCTGACAAAGGCCCCACCCTCAAGCCCAGAAACTGCATTCCTAAATGAGAACAGTTATACCTGTTTTCCCACGTGACTGTTGCTTTTTCCAAAACCACCCTGGCACATCATGCCCCCCATCGTGTACCCATAAAAAACCCGAATTCCACTGGTAGAAGAGTAGAGCAGTGTGGCAGAGGAGAAGAGAAGAGAAGAAGCAACTGAGAGTCAGAGACTACAGACGGACGTGGCTTAACTTCAGACAGCATGTCTTTGGAGAGGAGCTCAGCCAGAGCCAGCCGGGCTTCAGGAAATAATCACCTTCCGCATCTTTCCACTTCCAGCTCCCCTTCCACTGACAGCCACTTTCACTACTTAATAAAACCTCCACATTCACCATCCTTCAAGTCCATGTGACCTGATTCTTCCTGGATGCTGGACAAGAAACCCGGTACCAAGATGGCAGGGTGTAAGAGGCTTTCACCCTGACTCTTCACTGAGCTGGTTAACACTTAGCCATCTGCAGATGACTAATATTAAAAGAGCTTTGTTTGTAACACACACCGTCTGGGGCTCCAGAAGTCATGGGCAACCACTAGATGGCCATGGGCTGGTACAGGGTTTGTTCCTGCCAGCTCCTAAAGGCACTTGCCCCAGCTCCTGCATCAGCTCATCTATGTGCTCCCCCTTCCACAAGGGTTTTGAGCCCAGCCACATCCTGTTGCAAGTCACTTGAGGGGGTCAAGGAAATGTCCTTTCTCAGTTTGAAGTCAGGTAGCATGACACTTCTTGCTTTGTTCTCTCTCCTTTGGATTGCCTTGGCTATTTGGGCTAGTTTTAGCTTCATAAAAATTTTAAAATAGCTTTTTCTAGTTCTTTGAAGAATGTCACTGGTAGTTTGACAGCCGTAGCATTGAACCTGTAAATTGTTTTTGACTGTGTGGCCATATTAATGACACGAATTCTTCATTCACAAACATAAAAGGGTTTTCTATTTGTTTGTGTCATCTCTGATTTCTTCCAGCAGTGTTTTGTAATTCTCATTGTACAGGTCTTTCACTTTCCTGGTTAGCTATATTCATAGGTATTTTATTATTTTTGTGGTACTGGAAATGGAATTGTGTTCCTGATTTTGCTTGTGGCTTGGCTGTTGTTGGTGTACAGGAGTGCTAGTGTTTTTGTATGTTGATTTTGTGTCCTGAATCTTTGCTGAAGTTGCTTATTAGTGTAAAGAGTTCTGGGACCAAGACAATAGTTTTTTTTTATAGATATACAATCATGTCATTGACAATTATGGATAGTTCAACTTCCTCTCGTCCAATTTGGACACGCTTTATTTACTTTGCCTGCTTGGTCTGGCCAGGACTTCCAATGTTATGTTTGATATGGTTTGGATCTGTGTCCTTGACCAAATCTCATGTTGAAATGTAATCCCCAATGCTGGAGATGGAGCCTCATGGGGGCTATTAGTTCATGGTGGTGGTTTCTCATGATTTAACTCCATCCCCCCTTGGTGCTGTCATTGCAATAGTGAGTTCTCATGACATCTAGTTGTTTGAAAGTGTGTGGCACCTCCCTCCTCTCTCTCTTGGCCTTGCTCCTTCCATGCAAGATCCTATGCCTGCTTTGCCTTCTGCCTTGAGTAAAAGCTCTCTGAGGTCACCCCAGAAGCAGATGCTATCATGATTCCTTTGCAGACTGCAGGACTGTGAGCTAATTAAACATTTTTTTTTTTTGTAAATTAACCAATCTCAGGTATTTCTTTATAGGAATGTAAGAATGAACTAATACAATGTTGAATAGTAATGATGAGAGAGGACATCATTGTCTTTTGCCAGTTTTCAAGGGCAATTCTTCCAGCATTTGTCCATTCAGTATAATGTTGGCTGTGGGTTTGAAATAGATGACTCTTATTATTTTAAGATGTGTCCCTTCAATACCAATTTATTGGGAATTTTTAACATAAAGAGATGTTAAATTTTGTCAAAAGCTTTTTCTGTATCTGTTGAGTTGACCATGTTTTTTTTGTCTTTAGTTCTGTTTATGTGTTGAATTATGTTTATTTATTTGCATATGTTGAACCAATCTTGCATCACAGTGATAGCCTACTTGATGATGGTGGCTTAGCTTTTTGATGTGCTTCTTGATTTGATTTGCTAGTATTTTTTGAGGATTTTAGCATCAACGTTCACCAAGAATATTGGCTACAGTTTTCTTTTTTGTTGTTGTGATTCTGCCAGGTTTTGGTATCAGGTTGTTTCTGGCCTCATAGAATGAGTTAGGGAGGAATCCTTTTTCCTCAATTTTTGGGAATAGTTTCAGTAGAAATAATATCAGCTCTTCTATATACATCTGATAGAATTTGACTGTGACTGCATCTGGTCCTGGGCTTTTTATTTTTGGTTGGTTATTTATTACTGATTCAATTTCAGAGCTCTTTATTGGTGTACTAGTTCATTCTCATGCTGCTATGAAGAAATACCTGAGATGTGTACTTTATAAAGAAAAGTGGCTTAATTGACTCACAGTTCTGCATGGCTGGGGAGGCCACAGGAAACTTAAAGTCATGGCAAAAGGCACCTCTTCACAGGGTGGCAGGGGAGATAATGAATGAGGGCTGAAAGAAGGGGAAAGCACCTTATAAAACTATCAGATCTCATGAGAACTTACTATAATGAGAATAGCATTGGGGAAACCAACCATGTGAATCAATTACCTCTCACCAGGCCCCTCCCACAACACATGGAGATTATGGGAATTATAATTCAACATGAGATTTGGGTGGGGACACAGCTAAACCATATCATTCTACCCTGACCTATCCCAAATCTCATGTCCTCACATTTCAAAACACAATCATGCTCTTCCAACAGTCTCCCAAAGTCTTAATTTATTCCAGCATTAACTCAAAATTCCAAGTCCATAGCCTCATCTGAGGTAAGGCAAGTCGATTCTGCCTATGAGCCTGTAAAATCAAAAGCAAGTTAGTTACTTCCTAGATACAATGGAAGTTCAGGCATTGGGTAACTACATATGCTTCAAATGAGAGAAATTGGCCAAAACAAAGGAGCTACAGTCCCCACTCAAGTCAGAAATCCAATACGGCAGTCATTAAACCTTAAAGTTTGTTTGACCCCATGTCACATCCAGGACATGGTGATGCAAGAGGTGGGCTCCCACAACCTTGGGCAGCTTTGCTCTTGTGGCTTTGCAAGTTATAGCCCTCTGTACTGGCTGCATTCACAGGCCAGCATTGAGAGTCTGTGGCTTTTCCAGGTGTATGGCAGAAGCTGTCAGTGGATCTACCATTCTAGGGTGTATAGGATGCTGGCCTTCTTCTCACAGCTCTTCTAAGCAGTGCCCCAGTGGGGACTGTGTGTAGGGTCTCTGACCCAACATTTGCCTTCTGCATCACCCTAGCAGAGGTTCTCCATGAGGGCTGTGCCCCTGCAGTGGATTTCTTCCTGGACATCCAAGCATTTCCATACATCCTCTGAAATCTAGGTGGAGGTTCCCAAAGCTCAATCCTTGTCTTCTGTGCACTTGCAGGATAAATACCAAATGGAAGTTGACAAGGCTTATGGCTTACACCCTGTAAAGCAATGGCCTGAGATGAACCTTGGCCCCTTTTAGCCATGTCTGGAGCTGAAGCAACTGGGACACAAGGCACCATGTATCAAGGCAGTATGGAGCAGGTGGGCCCTGGGCCCAGCCCAGGAAACCATTTTTTCCTCCTAGGACTCTGGGCCTGTGATGGGAGAGCCTGCTGCAAAGGTCTCTGACATGCACTGGAGACATTTTCCCCATTGTTTGGGGATTAACATTTGGCTCCTTGTTACTTATGCAAATTTCTGCAGTGAGTTTAAATTTCTCCTGAGAAAATAGGTTTTTCTTTTCTATCACACTATCAGCCTGCAAATTTTCCCAAACTTTTATGCTCTGTTTCCTCTGGAATGCTTTGCTGCTTAGAAATTTCTTCCACCAGATACCCTAACTCATCTCTCTCAAGTTCAAACTTCCACATATCACTAGGACACAGGCAAAATGCCATCAGTCTCTTTGCACAGCAAGAGCGACTTTTACTCCAGTTCCTAAGAAGTTCCTCATCTCCATCTGAGACCACCTCAGCCTGAACATCATTGTTCATATCACTGTCAGCATTTTGGTCAAAGCCGTTCAACAGGTGTCTATGAAGTTCCAAACTTTCACATCTTCCTGTCTTCTGAGTTCTCCAACTCTTTAGGAAGTTCCAAACTTTACCACATTTTCTTGTCTTCTTCTGAGACCTCCAAACTGTTCCAACCTCTGCCTGTTACCCAGTTCTAATGTTGCTTCCACATTTTGGGGTATCTTTATAGCAGCACCCCACTGTCTGCAGTACCAATTTACTGTATTATTTCATTCTCATGTTGCTGTGAAGAAATACAGAGACTAAGTGATTTATAAAGAAAAGAGGTTTAATTGACTCACAGCTCTGCATGGCTGGGGAGGCCTCAGGAAATTTACAATCATGGTGGAAGGCACCTCTTCACAGGGTGGCAGGAAAGAGAATGAGCGAGAGCTGAGTGAAGGAGGAAGACCCCTCAGATTTCATGAGAACTTACTATCATGAAAATAGCATGGGGGAAATCACCTACATGATTAAATTACCTCCTACCAGGTCCCTCCCATGACACATGGGGATTATGGGAACTACAATTTGACATGAGATTTGGGTGAGGACATAGCCTAACCATATCAATTAGTATGTTCAGGGATTCAATTTCTTCCTGGTTCAGTCTTCGGAGGGTGTATGTGTCCAGGAATGTATTCACTTCTTCTAGATATTTTAGTTTCTGTGCATAGAGGTGTTCATACTAGTCTCTGATAGTTATTTGTATTTCTGTCATGTTACTAGTGGCATCCCCTTTGTTGTTTCTAATTGTTTTTATCTGGATCTTCTTTCTTTTCTTTTTTATTAGTTTAACTGGTGACCTATCCATCTTATTAATTTTCTTCAAAAAAGCAACTCCTGCATTTGGTTATCTTTTTCATGTCTTAATCTTGTTAAGTTCAGCTCTGCTTTTGCTTATTTCTTGTCTTCTGCAAACTTTGGGATTGGTTTGCTCTTGCTTATCTAGTTCTTTTGTAGCGGGACGAGATGCAGACAAAATCCCTCAGACACCGAGTTAAAGAAGGAAGGGCTTTATTCGGCCAGAAGCGTTGGCAAGACTAACATCTCAAAAACCGAGCTCCCCGAGTGAGCAATTCCTGTCCCTTTTAAGGGCTTACAACTCTAAGGGGGTCCGCATGAGAGGGTCGTGATTGATTGAGCAAGCAGTGGGTACGTGACTGGGGGCTGCATGCACTGGTACTTAGAATGGAACAGAACAGGACAGGGATTTTCACAATGCTTTTCCATCCACTGTCTGAAATCTATAGATAACACAAGCAGTTAGGTCAGGGGTTGATTTTTAACTATCAGGCCCAGGGTGTGGTGCTGGGCTATCTGCTTGTGGATTCCATTTCTGCATTTTAGTTTTTACTTCTTCTTCCTTTAGAGGCAGAAATTGGGCATAAGACCATATGAAGGGTGGTCTCCTCCCTTACTTTTTGTTGTGATGCTAGGTTGCTAAATCAAGATCTTTCTAACTTTTGATGTGAGCATTTAGTGCTATGAATTTCTCTCTGAACACTACCTTAGCTGCATCTTAGAGATTCTGCTTTGTTGTATATTAGCTCTCATTAGTTCCAAAGAACTTCTTGATTTCTGCCTTAATTTCATTATTTACCAAAAAGTCATTCAGGAGCGGGTTGTTTAGATTCTACTCAATTGCATGATTTTCAGTTATTTTTGTAGTCTTGGATTCTATTTTTATGATTTTGATTCTTTTGAATTTGCTGAGAATTATTTTATTTTGGATTGTGTGGTCAATTTTAGTGTAGGTACCTTGTGAAGATGAGAAGAATGTATATTCTACTGTTGTTCAGTGGACAGTTTTGTAGATGTCTATCAGGTTTATTTGGTCCAGTATTGAGGTCAGGTCCTGTATATGTTTGTTAATTTTCTGTCATGATGATCTGTCTAATACTGTCAGTGGGGTATTGAAGTCTCTCACTATTCTTGTGTGGGAGGCTAAGTCTCTTTAAAGGTCTCTAAGAACTTCCTTTATGAATCTGTGTGCTCCTGGGTTAGGTGCATGTATATTAGGGACAATTAGGTCTTCTTGTTGAATTGAACTCTTTACCATTATGTAATTCCTTTCTTTGTCCTTTTTGATTTTTGTTGGTTTCAAGTCTGTTTTGTCTGAAATTAGGATTGCAACTCCTGGGTTTTTTTCCATTTGCTTCATAGATTTTTCTTCGTCCCTTTATTTTGAGCTTATGTTTGTCACTGCATGTGAAATGGGTCTTGTGAAGACAGCATAGTATTGGGTTCTCTTTCTTTATCCAGCTTGACACTCTGTACCTTTTATTTGGGGCTTTTAGCCCATTTACATTCAAGATTATTATTGATATATGTTTATTTGATCATGTTACAATGTTATTAGGTGATTGTTATGCAGACTTGTTTATGTGGTTGCTTTAAATCACTGGTTTGTGTACTTAAGTGTGTATTTCAGTGACTGGTAACAATCTTTCTTTCTCATATTTAGTGTTTCTTTCAGGAACACTTGTAAGGTCTAGTGGTAACTAATATCCTCAGCATTTGTTTGTCTGAAAATAATCTAATTACTCCTTCACTTATGAATCTTAGTTTGGCCAGATATAAAATTCTTGGTAGGAATTTCTTTTCTATAAGAATGTTGAATATAGGACTCTAAGCTCTTCTGGCTTGTAGGTTTTCTGCTTTGAGGTCTGCTGTTAGTCTAATGGGCTTCCCTTGGTAGGTGACTTGCCCTTTTCTCTAGCTGCCTGTAACATTATTTTTTATTTTTGACCCTGAAGAATATGATGGTTATGTATCTTAGGGACAATCTTCGTGTGAAGTATCTTACAGGGGTTCTCTGCATTTCTTGAATTTAACTATTTACCTTACTAGCTAATCTGGGGAAGTACTCATGGATGATATTCTGAAATATGTTTTACTAGTTACTTTCATTCTCCCCTTCTCTTTCAGGGATGCCAATGGGTCATAAATTCAATCTCTTAATTCCATGTTTCTTGGAGATTTTGTTTGTTTCTTGTCATTTTTTAAATTCTTGTCTGACTGTCTTATTTCACAAAGCCAATCCTCAGGTTTGGAGATTCTTTTCAAAGCTTGGTCTATTTTTCTATTAATATGTGTGATTGCATTATGAAATTCTTGTAGTGTGTTTTTCAGCTTGATCAGTTCAGTTACTTTTCTATACCAGCTACTTTGTTTGTCAGCTGCTGTATCATTTTACTGTGATTCTTAGCTTCCTTAGGTTGGGTTTCAACATATTCCTAGATCTTGATCTTCATTCCTATGCACATTCTGAATGCTATTTCTGTCATATCAGCCAACTCAGCCTGGTTAAGAATTCTTGCTGGAGAAATAGTATGGACATTTAAAGGAAAGAATGCATTCTGGCTTTTTGAGTTGTCAGAGTTCTTGTGCTTGTTCTTTCTCATCTGTGTGGGCTGGTATTCCTTCAATCTTTGAGGTTATTGTCTTTGGGAATTTTTTCCTTTTATCCTATTTGATATCCTTTAGGGTTTGATTATGATATAACGTAGGTTTAGTCTCCTGGCTTCATTTCTTGAAGGTTTTAGGGGAGCAAGGCTCAGCTCAGGACTCCTTGACTGCATCCTCTAACTCTGGGAGAATGGCATCAAGCCCTGGCTTTGTTCTCTGTCTTCTCTAGGTTAGGAACCTGAGTGCTAGAGAGGCCAATGTGCTTTCAGACTGATGGTCATGACAGTCCAATGTGTGGTGCCAGCCAAAGTACTTTATATGGCAGTGGTAGTGGGATCCATCCTTGTCACACATGCCAGCAGTAGCAGCAGTGGGAACATGGTGGGGTGCATATTCGTTGGCTGTGGCAGGGTGTTAGCAGGTGTTTAGGTGCCAACCTCCAAGCAGATGTTCACAGCAGCAGTGGTGGCAGCACAGCTAGAGTGAATGCCAGGCTAGTGTCATGGGCAAGGCCAGCAGACTTAGGGGTGCTCAGGTTGGATGGGCTTCTTCTCATGGGCAAGACTGGCATGCAGAGTTTAGGTTCCACAGTTCCCCTAGGACTAACATCTCCTATGGAGTCAAGTTGAGCCTAGGGAGATGGCCATCCCTGACCATGCTTCTCTACAGACACTCACACCAAACCCTCTGGACTCTACACTGGCTGGAATTCTGCCCCTACCATAACTCTTAGCAGCTCTCTCTGTCAACTCAAGTGTCCATGGTGGTTGAGGAGTCTCCTTCTGCCAGTATTCCAGAGACCCGTGGTGAGAACAGGTTGTTGATTGCTTGTTCAACTCACCCTTTTCCTCAGGGTTCTTAGGGGCTAGGAACAAGCCCTGATGCACAGTAGACCCGTGCAAGGTTCCTAGCTTCCTCCCCTTTCAGCCCAGCATCTGTGTTTTTGCTCCATCCACTGTCAATGCCTTCTCTGTGAAGATCTACTGAGAGTGTGCCAGTCTTCCTGAAGTCCCATTTTTTTGGTGGGAGATGTTTATCCTGGCTGCATCTAATCAGCCATCTTACCTCCTTCTCTGATTCCAGTTTTAAATGAAATTCTACTACGGGTAAAATTCAGTGAAAAAGCATCACTTGTTATGGAGAAAACTTTTATGAAAGGGAGAGTCAATTGATGCAGCAAATTTTAGTGTTGTTTTAAGAAATTGCCATGGCCAACCCCAACTTTCAGTAATCACAACCCAGATCAGTCAGCAGCCAACAATATCAAGGCAAGACCCTCAATCGGCAAAAAGATTCTGACTCACTGATGGCTCCAATGATTGTTAGCATTTTTCAGCAATAAAATATTTTTAATAAAGGTATATGCATTTTTTTGGACATAATGCTATTTCACACTTAATATAGTATAGTGCGAACAGAACTTTTATATTACTACCAAAATTTGAATGACTTGTTTTATGGAGGTGCTCTGGACCCAAACTATTTCTGAGGTATACCTGTTTTTCTTATCTCAATGCACTGCACCTTCCATGGGAAAAATTATAAACTATGAGATCATCCTTGACCACCTCCCACTTCCTCTTTCTTCCTCTCCAATATACCACTAATTCTGTAGATTTTACATAGTCTGCTTTTACCCATTTTCAATAATAAAAGATTTATAAGCTATCATCCTTTTTCATCTGGACTACTAGTACAATATTCTTTTTTTTTTTTTTTTTTTTTTTTTTTTTTTTTTTTTTTTTGAGACGGAGTCTTGCTCTTTCACCTAGGCTGGAGCTCAGTGGTGCGATCTCGGCTCACTGCAACCTCCACCTCCCGGGTTCACGCCATTCTCCTGCCTCAGCCTCCTGAGTGGCTGGGACTACAGGGGCCCACCACCACGCCCGGCTAATTTTTTGTATTTTTAGTAGAGACCGGGTTTCACCGTGTTAGCCAGGATGGTCTTGATCTCCTGACCTTGCGATCTGCCTGCCTCGGCCTCCCAAAGTGCTGGGATTACAGGCGTGAGCCATCACGCCTGGCCTTACTACATTATTCTTATGAGTGATGTAATGCATCTAAGCATCTACCCTTTTCCCTTATCAATCTATGCTCTCCTCTGCATCCAGAAAGAGTGTTACAAATACAAATGTTATCAAGTCACTCAGTTGTTTGAAAACTTGGAATGACTTCCCAATTCTCTTAGGAAAACAAAAGAGCTCGACATTAGTCTGTAGATACTATAAGTTTTAGCCCTTACATCTCCTTGTACGACTCTCTCTTTTGTTCTCTGTGCTCCTGTCATGCTGGGTTTCTTTCAGTTTTTTTTTTTTTTTAAATATATGCCCCAGGGCCTTCACATTTGCTTTTTTCCCTACCTATAAATCTCCTAAGCAGTCCCTCTCTCACTACCATACAACCCTACCCTACCTAATCATTAATTCCTCATTGAAATCTTTCTTAACTTTTCTGACTAGATTAGATCCCTTTATTGTACAATTTCATATTAATATGTACTTCTCCTTCATGGCACATAACACAGATTATGTTAGTTTTCTTTGTGTAATTATTTGGTTAATATTTATCTCCCCAACTATCTGCTATGGGTCATGAAACCAGAGGCAGCGACTATTTTTCCCACTATTTCTACCCAATTACCTACTTCAGTGACTGGCATGTAGTACATCTTCAGTAAATCTAAATAAATTAATAAAAGAAACAAAGAGAGTGAAAGAAGTAATACACACACACACATAAAAAGAGAAAGAGAATTCTGTACGTGTTCTTGTATTTGTGTAACATATTTAATATTGATTGTCCCTGTCCTAGGATTTATGTGATAACTTATTTGAAAAAGACAAGATTTTAGAGTTTTTCCAGAGACACAATGCTGAGAGCAATGCTGTCCAGTGGAACATCCTGCAATGATGGCACTGTTCTTTATTGGTACTGACAATAGAGTAGCTACTACTTACATGTGGTTGTTAAGCAACTGAAATGCAGCCAGTGTGACTGAGAAAGTAAATTTTTAATCTTATTTTATTTTGACTATTTTCTATTTAAGTAAATACATGTGTCTGTGTTGCATGGAGCGGATATAGAGATCAATTTTAAGCAGGATAAATTCATAAAGAAGCCTAGTATGTCCCTGGTAGAAGTTAAATTATCTTCCAAGCCCTCAGATTTTTCACCTTCCACTAATTAAACAAAATATTATGAAATCCTAAAGTTTCCCAGAGTTGGCCATTGGATTTCAGAGGAAGGGTAAGGTGAAAGCCAAGTGATTGAGGATAGGTACTTTCCACTGCTTTCTACTCCTACACTTTCAAAAAAGAGCAGAATTTTGTGTATTTGGTAAATTAATTTTTCACTTAACTTATTTGCATAAAGATCTGTACCACTTGAAAATTTTGAAAACCACTACCTTGTATAACAGATTGTACCCATATTCAGAAAGCAGTACACGATATGTTTCCAGTATGTGGCTGTACATATTTATAGGAAGGGAAAGTTGCTATTCATGCAGAATGATAGGAGAGGCACAAGATGGTCTCTCTACCTCTGTTTTTTCTCTCTCACCCACCTACCATAGTACAAATGAATATATGTACATAGAATATGAAAGATGTACAAAACAGGTCTAGAAATTATCTTGTCAAAACTTGTCCCATAACAATGAATTCCTAACAGAATACCTGACAAAAGCAAATTAACTGTTTTAGAGCAGAGACTGGAATAGAGAAGTCAGTGTAGTTGAGTAACCCAATTTTCCTAAGAGAAAGATAAGAAGTTATTTTAAAATTATTATTATTATTTTGTTTCTCTT
This sequence comes from Homo sapiens, assembly GCF_000001405.40. Classification (NCBI taxonomy): domain Eukaryota; kingdom Metazoa; phylum Chordata; class Mammalia; order Primates; family Hominidae; genus Homo; species Homo sapiens. Next base: position 6,130,663 of record NC_000024.10, read on the forward strand.
TCCTTCATTCCTCTTGTTCTCGGCTTTCCACTTAGCTCTTTAGAAACACAATTATAATCTTTACCTTCCCTTTACCAGACACTCCCTATACAGCAAGCTTATTTATATGCTTATTTAGAAGCTCCAGAGCCAGAACTCTCTCCCAGCAGGAGATTTCCTTGAGACAACAGTCAATTTACAACCTAAATTATGCTCACGATGAAACTCTCTCTCACCTGGAAAGCATCTTGCGACATCAGCCACTTTACAACCTCACTCTGCCCATAATGGCACCAGCTCAACCACCTGGTAGATAACTCCAAGTCATGTAACTCCCACACCTGCTCACTCTCTTCTCTGCATGCCTTTTAGTGAAAGCTGCCCTTTAAAACTCCTTTTTTCTGCCCCTAAAGTAAAGCAATTCCCTTAAAGGCAGGAGCCTGTACCTCTTCCCCTGTGCTAAGCTTTGAAACAGTCACTTCCTTTATACCAGACCTTGCTCTTGTTAATTGAACTCTGCAAGTGGTGAGTGACTGAACTTGCATTTCAGTTACAGCAGTAATGACTGTAATGTTTTATAAATACATACCAATAGTGGACCAAGTTGCCAGAGACAATTGGAGTTAAGGAGCTAAGGCAGAATAAGTTGGTTGTGGCAGATAGAGGCCAAACATTCAAAGCAAAAAAAAAAAAAAAAAAAACTAAAGCAGTAACTGCAGTAACTCATGCTGAAACACAGAGGAGCAATTAGAAAGGCCACAGCTGACAACCAGGCAAACAAATTAGTGGTTAGCAGGTAGTCAGGAAGCTGAGATTCATTACAATAAAGACTAAAAGATCAGATAACAGTCAGTTTTACTAGAGAGGTGAGTGCTTCTGAAAATCATGCTGGCTATTGCCCTACTGTTAAAGAATGTAACTAATGTAACTGACCTCCTTTTATAACCTTCTTAGTAGTGGTTCTCATTTTTTAAGAAGTCTGTGTTTTCCCTATGGCCTTGAGTATGCTTGCTGTCTTAACAGTCATTCAACTTTTTCCTGAGCATTTACAGTAAATGGAAAAGGAAATGAAGAAGATTGAACACCTGTTACTTGCCTGAAAGTGTAGCAGAAGAGAGCTAACCAGATAGCTAAATAAACACTCTCATGGGATATTAATCAACAATTTGATATATAAATAAGTACCCTTACTAATAAGATTTTACAAGTAGGAAGCTCAAAAAAGTGAGGTAAAGAATCCAAGTTTACATAGCTAGTTTGAAGTGGTGAAATGTATCAACTCAAGACTTTTATTATCCCCTATGCCCTTTTTTATGTATTTTATGGACTACTAAGACTCCTCTCAGTATGTGAGGCTGAAAACTAATCTCTGATTAGTCCAGATTTTGACAAAAATATGGCCAGTACTCTAGAACTAAGTTATTATTTTCAGAGGATCTCTTTTAGAATGTATGATTCCTGGGAGGAATTAATTAAACCGTACAACACACTGCAATACAATTTTTTTTAATCAGATAAGTCGTGGGAGGCCAAGACTCCAGGGAATCAGAACAAAGGGTAGGATCATAATGGGGGCAATGGGGGTTATAGTGAGAAGTATTGGAAGGCATAGGGGGTAAAGAAGTAAAAACATTAATAGAGGCCAATTTTTAGAGAAAACAGGATAAATCGACTTTTTAATAGGCAATCTTTATTATACTGTTTGATTTTTTTTAACAGCCAGGAGAAAGTTCCAGCTAAAATATTTCACCTGTGGCCATATTGATTATTTTGCAATAGCCTATCATTTCTTACCATATTTTTAAAAGCTATGCCTTGTGGTTATTAAGAGGTGATTCTACAATACTTTTCTGAGTGATAGCTTTCATCTGACAATGCATCATATTTAATGAGTAGTAAAACTGTAATTCAGTCTTTGATCACTGTCAACAAACAACTTGGGTTGGCAAGGAGCTATTAAGTGTATGCTGCATTGACAATTTATTTTCTTTTAGGCTATTTTATAGTAAAAAAAAATCACCTGGTATAAAGTGTTGTGTTAATTGTTTATAACTAACTAGTAGAATTTGACTGCAGAGTTAATCTTAGGCAATAATTTCTTCAACTACCAGTGGAATTTTGCACTCAAAGTTGTTAAAGATTTCTTTCATTCAAATCCCTGAAGTGTGGTGCAGTTCTAGTCATTGTAAAGATTTTTTCAGGAGATGGGAGAAAGATCTAATAAGGTCATTTTTCACAGTGTTATACTGAGAGTTGTCTTGGATGGAATGGCTCTGCAGTTCATCAGTTTTGATATTTATATTCAGTACCTCTGAGTAGTTAAAGATCAATGACACCATAAAATGCATTTATCTCATACATACTTTAAAACATCTCACAACAAAGCATTTAGAGAACTGTGTCAAAAACATGACTAGATCTTGTAACTTACAAAAAGGGACACATTTTGCCTTTTTATATTTTCCATTTTTAAAATTTTTTTAAAGAGTGTGTTTATTACAAAGATATTTTAGGAGCAAAGATAAAAAAATGTATTCCAAAAATGAGCCTGTACATTCTAGGACTTCTGATATTGTGACTAAAGTGAGATATATTCTATTAACCTTTTCCAAATAGGATTGTACTTGTTTATAAATGATGTCCAGCATTTGGTCCCAAATGCAAATTTTAACTTCATAATCATATAAAAAACTTGAACTGATATATCAAACCCACATACTATCTAACTTTTAAATGTATATCTATTTTTATTTCATAATCACAATAACAGTAAAATGCAATATTTCTCTGACTTCTTATAATAATTTCCCCCTATCCTTCTACAAGAATTCAGGGAGTTTCCAGACCCTTTCTCTTGTGGGCTTATGCGTAGGAGATTCTTATGTTATCTTCTCTCAGTGTCAGCATCAGTATGTCACATGCTCCTTAAATCTGGGTTTCTGTAGTGACATGTTCTGCTACTTCACTGTGCCTGAGAAATGATGTGCTATGATCCAATGATAATTATATTGCATCGGCTCAGTTGTCCTGCACACTTTATGATAAGCTTGTGAAACAGAGCTGTCTTCTGTTTTTTGTTTCTTTTGTATATTTCCATGATGATGATCTATGTTAGTTACTCACTTCTAAATGAGTAAAAATAAAAGGCAGTACAACACAGTGGTTAACAATATGGACTCTGACACTTCAGTACTTGGGTTTGATTGTCAACTCTACTACTACTAGCTATGTAGCATTCAAAAAACTACTTGATTCCCCTTTGCCACCATAGCCTTATTTACTAAATGTGGGTAATGACAATCAGATCTGCCGCATAGGATGGTTTATGAAAATTAAAAGATTTAATGTGCATAAACTACTTAATGCATGACACATAATAAGCATTATATCAATGTATTATTATTATTATTGCTGATTCCTCTCTTTAAGGTACCATTATGAGTACAGGGTGACTAAGCCCTATGTGACACCTAAAACTTAAGAGTTTGGTTGATACAATTAAGCAAAAACTATTAGGCAGAAAGTCTCAGCAACAAGGACTATCCAATCTGTTGTATAGAATTCCGAATTCCAACAACCATTTTTGTTTTAAAGATATGTGTCATTATTATTTGACATGGAGATAAAATAGACTTCTACCCAAGATGATGAATTATGAAGAATATGTCAAATCAATAAAAATGCAGAATAAATAATTGTTAGATATAGTTATGACAACTGTCAGTATGAAGGATTAAAAAAGGAGCACATCAGGAATTAGGATGTCAAATAACATTAATGATGTAGCTTAAATAGAAAATCCTGTTTTTAAGACATTACTCTGTAAGAAGCACCAAGATGGCTGAGTAGAAGCAGATGGTGTGTGCTGTTCTCATGGGGAAAAGACAGAGTGGTGAGTAAACACTACCTCTTCAAGTGATAATCCAGGAAGCCTCATTGGGATTCATAAAAAAAGCAATGGTGCCACATGAACACCAGTAAAAACTGAGGCAGGACAGCTGCCTACCTGGGATTGGTGCAGAGCCAGGGGAGGCTCCCTACCATGAGAAAAGGGTGAGTGAGGGAGAACCCTTGGGGACTCAAATTTATGCCACAAACCTTTGAGGTTATGGGCACTGAAGATCCCCATTGGCACCCCCAGGCTTATAGTCCAACACAGAGAGCTTCCTGGTGTCTCGGCAGAGCCACAGCTCAAGCTCATGTTCAGCCCCATTAGTGTGGTTTCCTTGTGCCAGCTTTCATAGCCCTGCCAACAAGGGAGGCCAGGCTCTCTCACACATCCCTAAGATAGGGGCCATATTCATGATGGTGAGGAGCAGAGAGACCACAAACCCCACCTCTGCTGTATCTCATCAGGCAAGGTCCATTGGCTGGGGTCCACAGAACAACCACCCGACCCCTGTCTGAGCACTCCAGCTGGTTGTGGCCCTGCATTTCTCTGAAATACAGCTACCGGAAGTAACTTACAGGTCTGCTGCAATTGCTATGGTTGTGGACCCCACCCCTGCTGCTCTCAGGCTGGGGAGGCAGCAAAGAATCCAAGAAATATAGTGGGCCTCCAGCAAGCCACAGCTGCCCTATGAAAAGGTATCCAGATTGTTTTCCACATCTGACCCTGCTTCTGCTGCTCCTCACTGGGCAGAGCCTCCTGGCTTTGGCCCACAGTGCAGCCACCTCACACCTGCTTAATCACATCGGTCCATGGCAGCTCTGTATTTCTCCAGGATGGAGCTCCCAGAGACAACTGACAGACCCTCTGCCATTGCTGCCACCATTGCTCCCCCCAGGCTAGGAGGAAACAAAGAGCCTGATTGTTTTCACATGCCTACAGTATGCCACAGCCATTTTATGTAGAAGAGTTTAGATTGCCTTTAATGTGAACTGAGCACCCTGTTCTTTGTCAGGCAGTCCTCCACTCCCCACCCTCAGCTTGGGTCTGCAGTACAGCAGCCCCACTCCTGGCTGATCATCACAATCAGCAATGGCTCTGCATTTCTCTGGGGTGGAGTTCCCAGAGGCAACTAACAGCCCCTCTTCCACTGCTGCCACTGTATACCCTGCCTTGCTGCCCTAGTGATGGAAAGGGAACAATTCACCTGATTGCTGTGTTTATATCTCCAGCATGCCATAGCCGCCCTACAGAGGGAAGGCCAGACTGTCTTCCCTGTTAGTCCCTGCCCCCACTGCTCTTTACAAGGCAGGGCTCCCTAGCATGGGTCATAGCACACCTGCCACATCCCCAGCTGTTTACTAATCAGCCATGGTTTTTCATTTAGCTGAGGTGGAATACCCAGAGTCAACTGACAGGCCCTCTGCCATTGCTGCTGCCATGGTCCCCACCCCTGCTGCCTCCAAGCTGAGGAGGGAAGAAAAAACTTCACCACACTCCAGGGTGGCAGTGCACAGCTTGGGAGTGGTGAACGGAGATCTGTGACCAGCACTCTGAAAGGAGAGGAGTTTACACTCCCAGAGCACTGAGAGGGGTAAGTTGCATGGGCTCATGGGCTGTCACAGGTGGGGAGAATGCCTGCCTCCACAAAGCCAGCCCAGAAAATGTGAGGCCTGTTTCCCTCCTGCCTGCTGCCTCTGCCTGAGGAAGCCCCATGAACCAAAAGAGCTAAGAAAAGAGAAACTGACACAGTGCCAGTGATATGAGGAAGCTCCCCTAAGGTCCAGATGTATAGCTAATGAGGTCATCTCTCTCTCTGTTGCAACACAGAGCACAGCTACAAACGCCAGGAAACACAAAGAAGCCAGTGGCTTAGTAAGAGCCTACCTACTGCCAGTACTCTTAAGAACCATCTACTGCATCTCAGCCCAATGTAAAACACCAAAACTACTAAGCTAATATACCCCCCTATGGAACCAAGGGCAGTAATTCAGTCACAAAAAAAGAAAGACTCTACACAGAGCATTGGCTTTCTGAAACCATCTACAAACAAAGCTAACTGACTATATTCAACTTATAACCACAATTAAAAGAACATCAACCCTTCCAGATGAGAAATAATTAGCACAAGAACCCTGGCAATTCAAAAACCGAAGTGTCTATGTACCTCCAAGGGAGTCCACTAGTCTCCAACAATGAATCTTAAGTTGGAAATAATAGATATAGAATTCAGAATCTTTATGGCAAGGAAGTGCATTGAGTTGCAAGAGAAAGTTGAAACTCAATCCAAGGAATCCAGTAAGATGATCCAAGAGCTGAAATACAATATAGCTATTTTTAGAAATAACCAAACTAAACTTTTAGAGCTGAAAAACTCACTACAAGAATTTCATACTTCTATGTAAAGTATTAACAGCAGAATAGACCATGCTGAGCATAGAATTTCAGAACATGAAAAATGGTTCTGTAAATCAACTCAGTCAGACAAAAATGAAGAAAAAAAATTGTTAAAAAATGAACAAAACGTCCAATAAATAATGGGGTTATGTAAAGAGACCAAGTGTTTGACTTATTGGCATTCCTAGGAGAGAGAAGAAGGGGGAAAATAACTTGGAAAATATATTTGAGGATATAGTCCATGAACATTTCTCTACTCTCACTAGAGAGATGGACATTCAAATCCAAGAAATAGAAAGAATTTCAGCTAGATATTTTACAAGATGACCAACCACTAAGGCACATAGTCATCAGATTCAACAAGCTCAACGCAAAATAAAAAAGGCTTAAAGGAAGCTAGAGAGAAGGATAAAGTCATATACACAGCAAACTCATTCAGCTAGCAGCAGACATCTCAGCAGAAACATTATAAACATAAGTGATTGCAGACCTATTTTCAGGATCCTTAAAGAAAAGAAATTCCAAGCAAGAATTCATATTCTTCAAAACTAAGATTCATAAGTAAAGGAGGAATAAATTCTTCTCAGACAGACAAATACTAAGGGAATTTATTCCAACCAGACCAGCCTTACAAGAGGTTCTTGAGAGAGTGCTACACATGGAACCAAAGGGGGAATAAAAGGCTAGCACAAAAACATACCTAAGTACAAAGATCACAGACACTATAAAATAATCACACAAACAAGTCTACAGAATAACCAGCTTACAACATGATGACAGAATCAAAATCTTACATATCAATACTAACCCTGAATGTAAATGGGCTAAATGCCCCCACATAAAAGACATGGAGTAGCAAACTGGAAAAAAAGATAAGACCTAACTATCTACAGTCTACAAGAGACCCAGCTCACATGCAGTGAAACACACAAGCTCAAAGTAAAGAGACGAAGAAAGATCTATCATGCAAGTGGAAAACAACAACAAAAAGTAGGAGTTGATATTCTTGAAGAAGGGCATACATAATAATACAGAGTACCAACAAGAAAACTTAACTATTCTAAATATGTAGGCACCTAAATAAATATGCACTCACATTTATAAAACAAGTTCTTCTTGGCCTATGAGAAGACTTAGAAAACCACACAATAATAGTGGGAGATTTCAAAACCCCAAAGAGAATTGAGGGAGAAAACTGTCAAAGAAACATTAGAGTTAAACAGTACACTTGACCAAATGGACATGATACACGTCTACAGAACACTACATCAAACAACCACAGAGTATACATTATTTTCACCTGCACACGGAACAAATTCTAAGACAACCACATGCTTGATCATAAAGCATGTCTCAACAAATTCGAAACAGTTGAAATCATACCAGTTAACAACCTCAGGCAACAATGCAATAAAAATACAAATGAATATCAAGAAAATCTCTCAAAACCACACAAATAATTTGGAAATTGAACAACTTGCTCCTAAATTACTCCTGGGTGGACATCAAATTTACGTCAGAAATAAAAATAATTGAAATTAATGAAAATAGGGACACAACTTACCAAAAATGGAAACATTTTTCTTGAAAAGTTGAACAAGGCAAGGATGTCCACTCTCACTCCTCCTATTTAACATAGTACTGAAAGCCCCAGCTTTCTCTTAGGCAAGAGAAAGAAATAAAAAAAATCTAAATAGGAAAAGAATAAGTCAAGCTATTTTTCCTGACATTATGATTCCATACCTAGAAAATACTAAAGACTCCACAGAAAGGCAACCAAATCTGGAAAATAATTTTGATAATGTTTCAGAGTACAAAAAAGTCACTGTACAAAAATCAGTGGCATTTTTATAGACCAAAATGTCTAGGGTGTGACCCAAATCAAGAACACAATCCCACTTACAATAGCTACAAAGAAAATGAAATATCTAGGTATACAACTAACCAAGAAAGTGAAAGATCTCTCCCAGGAGAACTAAAAAACGTTGCTGAAAGAAATCAGAGACATCACAAATAAATTAAAAAAAAATTCTGTGCTCATGGATTGGAAGAATCAATATAATAAAAATGGCCATACTGCCCAAAGCAATTTACAAATTCACTGCTAGTCCTATCAAACTACCAATGTCATTCTTCACAGAATTAGAAAAAAAACTATTCTAAACATTATATGGAACTTAAAAAAGAACCCAAGTAGCCTAAGCAAAAAGAACACAGCCAGACACATCATACAAACTGAGTTCAAACTATATTATAAGGCTACAGTAAAACAAAACACCATGATATTTGTCAGGCCTCTGAGCCTAAGCTAAGCCATCATAACTCCTGTGACCTGCACTTACACATCCAGATGGCCGGTTCCTGCCTTAACTGATGACATTCCACCACAAAAGAAGTGAAAATGTCCTGTTCCTGTCTTAACTGATGACATTGTCTTGTGAAATTCCTTCTCCTGGCTCATTCTGGCTCAAAAGCTCCACTACTGAGCACCTTGTGACCCCCACTCTGCCTGCCAGAGAACAACCCCGTTTGACTGTAATTTTCCTTTACCTACCCAAATCCTATAAAACAACCCCACCCCTATCTTCCTTCGCTGACTCTCTTTTCGGACTCAGCCCACCTGCACCCAGGTGAAATAGACAGCTTTATTGGTCACACAAAGCCTGTTTGGTGGTCTCTTCACATGGACGTGCATGAAATTTAGTGCTATGACTCAGATCAGAGGACCTCCCTTGGGAGATCAATCCCCTGTCCTCCTGTTCTTTGCTCCATGAAAAACATCCACCTACGACCTCAGGTCCTCAGACCCACCAGCCCAAGGAACATCTCACCAATTTTAAATCAGGTAAGCGGCCTCTTTTTACTCTCTTCTCCAGCCCCCTTCACTATCCCTCAACCTCGTTCTCCTTTCAATCTTGGTGCCACACTTCAATCTCTCCATTCTCTTAATTTCAATTCCTTTCATTTTCTGGTAGAGACAAAGGAGACATGTTTTATCTGTGGACCCAAAACTCCAGTGCCGGTCACAGACTAGGGAAGGCAGCCTTCCCTTGGTGTTTACTAATTGCAGGGATGCCTCTCTGATTATTCACCCAGGTTTCAGAGGTGTCAGACCATGCAGGGACGCCTGCCTTGATCCTTCAACCTTAGCGACAAGTCCCACTTTTCTGGGGAAGGGGCAAGTACCCCAACCCCTTCTCTCTGTGTCTCTACCCCTTCTCCACCTTTCTGGGGGGCAAGAGACCCCCAACCCCTTCTCCTTCACCCTTAGTGGCAAGTCCCGCTTTTCTAGGGGAGGGGCAAGTACCCCAACCCCTTATATCTCTGCACCCCGATCCCTTATTTCCACACCCCAACCTCTTATATCTCTGTGCCCCAATCCCTTATTTCCATGCCCTGACATCGTATCTCTGTGTCCCAACCCCTTTCCCACTTTTCTGGAGGGTAAGAACTCCCAAACCCCTTCCCTCTGTGTCTCTACTCTCTCTTTTCTCTGGGCTTGCCTCCTTCACTATTTGCAACCTTCCACCCTCCATTCCTCCTTCTTCTCCCTTAGCCTGTGTTCTTAAGAACTTAAAACCTCTTCAACTCTCACCTGATCTAAAATCTAAGCATGTTATTGTCTTCTGCAATGCCACTTGACCCCAATACAAACTTGACAGTAGTTCCAAATAGCCAGAAAATGGCACTTTCAATTTTTCCACCCTGCAAGTTCTAAATAATTATTGTCATAAAATAGGCAAATGGTCTGAGGTGCCTGATGTCCAGGAATTATTTTACACATCGGTCCCTTCCTAGTTTCTGTGCCCAGTGCAACTCATCCCAAAACTTCCTTCTTTCCCTCCCACCTGTCCCCTCCATCCCAACCCCCAGCATCGCTGAGTCTTTCTAATCTCCCTTTTCTACAGACCCATCTGACCTCTCCCCTCCTCCCCAGACTGCTCCTCACCAGGCCGAGCTAGGTCCCAATTCTTCCTCAGCCTCCGCTCCTCCACCCAATAATCCTTTTATCACCTCCCCTCCTCACACCTGGTCCAGCTTACAGTTTCATTCTGTGACTAGCCATCCCCCACCTGCCCAGCAATTTACTCTTAAAAAGGTGGCTGGAGCTAAAGCCATAGTCAAGGTTAATGCTCCCTTTTCTTTATTCCAAATCAGATAGCATTTAGGCTCTTTTTCATCAAATATAAAAATCCAGCCCAGTTCATGACTCATTTGGCAGCAACGCTGAGATACTTTATAGCCCTAGACCCTAAAAGGTCAAAAGGCCATCTTATTCTCAAAATACATTTTATTACCCAATCTGCTCCTGACATTAAATAAAACTCAAAAAATTAAATTCTGGCCCTCAAACCCCACAACAGGATTTAATTAACCTCGCCTTCAAGGTGTACAATAATAGAAAAAAGTTGCAATTCCTTGCTTCCACTGTGAGACAAACCCCAGCCACATCTCCAGCAAACAAGAACTTCCAAACGCCTGAATCGCAGCAGCCAGGCATTCCTCCAGAACCTCCTCCCTGAGGAGCTTGCTACAAGTGCCAGAAATCTGGCCACCAGGCCAAGGAATGCCTGCAGCCCAGGATTCCTCCTAAGCCACATCCCATCTGTGCAGGACCCCACTGGAAATCATACTGTCCAACTCACCTGGCAGCCACTCCCAGAGCCCCTGGAACTCTGGCCCAAGGCTCTCTGACTCCTTCCCAGATCTTCTTGGCTTAACGGCTGAAGACTGACACTGCCTGATCACCTCGGAAGCCCCCTAGACCGTCACAGATGCTGAGCTTTGGATAACTGTCACAGTGGAAGGTAAGTCTGTCCCCTTCTTAATCATTACGGAGGCTACCCACTCCACATTACCTTCTTTTCAAGGGCCTGTTTCCCTTGCCTCCCTAACTGTTGTGGGTATTGACAGCCAGGCTTCTAAACCTCTTAAAACTCCCCCACTCTTGGTGCCAACCTAGACAACACTCATTTAAGCACTCCTTTTAGTTATCCCCACCTGCCCAGTTCCCTTATTAGGCTGAGACACTTTAACTAAATTATCTGCTTCCTTGACTATTCCTGGATTATAGCTACATCTCATTGCTGCCCTTCTTCCCAATCCAAAGCCTCCTTTGCATCCTCCTCTTGTATTCCCCCACCTTAACCCACAAGTATAAGATACCTCTACTCCCTCCTTGGTGACTGATCATGCACCCCTTACCATCTCATTAAAATCTAATCACCCTTACCCCACTGCACACCAATATCCCATCCCACAGCACGCTTTAAAAGGATTAAAACCTGTTATCATTCGCCTGCTACAGCATGGGCTTCTAAAACCTATAAACTCTCCTTACAATTCCCCCATTTTACCTGTCCAAAAACTGGACAAGTCTTACAGATTCGTTCAGGATCTGCGCCTTATCAACCAAATTGTTTTGCCTATCCACACTGTGGTGCCCAACCCATACACTCTTTTGTCCTCATTACCTTCCTCCACAACTCACTATTCTGTTCTTGATCTTAAAGATGGTTTTTTCACTATTCGCCTGCACCCCTTGTCCCAGCCTCTCTTTGCTTTCACTTAGACTGACCCTGACACCCATTAGGCTCAGCAAATTACCTGGGCTGTACTGCCGCAAGGCTTCACAGACAGCCCCCATTACTTCAGTCAAGCCCAAATTTCATCCTCATCTGTTACCTATCTTGGCATAATTCTCATAAAAACACACGTGCTTTCCCTGCTGATCATGTCCGATTAATCTCCCAAACCTCAATCCCTTACAAAACAACATTCCTTTCCTTCCTAGCCATGATTAGTGTGGTCAGAATTCTTACACAAGAGCCAGGACCGCACCCTGTAGCCTTTCTGTCCAAACAATTTGACCTTACTGTTTTAGCCTAGCCATCATGTCTCCGTGCAGTGGCTGCTGCCACCCTAATACTTCTAGAGGCCCTCAAAATCAGAAACTATGCTCAACTTACTCTCTACATTTCTCATAACTTCCAAAATTGATTTTCTTCCTCATACCTGATGCATATACTTTCTGCTCCCTGGCTCCTTCAGCTGTACTCACTCTTTGTTAAGTCCCACAGTTACCATTGTTCCTGGCCCAGACTTCATTCCGGCCTCCCACATTATTCCTGATACCACACCTGACCCACATGACTGTATCTCTCTGATCCACCTGACATTCACCCCATTTCCCCATATTTCCTTCTTTCCTGTTCCTCACCCTGATCACGCTTGATTTATTGATGGCAGTTCCACCAGGCCTAATCACCACACACCAGCAAAGGCAGGCTATGCTATAGTACAAGCAACTAGCCCGCCTCTTAGAACCTCTCATTTTCTTTCCATTGTGGAAATCTATCCTCAAGGAAATAACTTCTCAGTGTTCCATCTGCTACTCTACTACTCCTCAGGGATTATTCAGGCCCCCTCCCTTCCCTACACATCAAGCTCGAGGATTTGCCCCCACCCAGGACTGGCAAATTAGCTTTACTCAACATGACCCAAGTCACAAAAACTAAAATACCTCTTAGTCTAAGTAGACACTTTCACTAGATAGGTAGAGGCCTTTCCTACAGGGCCTCAGAAGGCCACCGCAGTCATATCTTCCCTCCTGTCAGACATAATTCCTCAGTTTAGCCTTCCCACCTCTATACAGTCTGATAACAGACCAGCCTTTATTAGTCAAATAAGACAAGCATTTTTTCAGGCTCTTAGTATTCAGTGAAACCTTTATATCCCTTACAGTCCTCAGTCTTCAGGAAAAGTAGAACAGACTAATGGTCTTTTAAAAACACACCTCACCAAGCTCAGCCACCAACTTAAAAAGGACTGGACAATACTTTTACCACTTTCCCTTCTCAGAATTCAGGCCTGTCCTCAGAATGCTACAGGGTATAGCCCATTTGAGCTCCTGTATAGACACTCCTTTTTATTAGGCCCCAGTCTCATTCCAGACACCAGACCAACCTGGACCGTGCCCCCAAAAAACTTGTCATCCCTACTATCTTCTGTCTAGTCATACTCCTATTCACTGTTCTCACCTACTCATACATGCCCTACTCTTGTTTACACTGCCGGTTTACACTGTTTCTCCAAGCCATCACAGCTGATATCTCCTGGTGCTATCCCCCAAACTGCCACTCTTAACTCTTGAAGTAAATAAATAATCTTTGCTGACAGGACTATGGTGAATTTCCTCAGGCACTCTAATTAGATGTCCTAGGTCCTCCCAATTCTTAGACCTTTAATACCTGTTTTTCTCCTTCTCTTATTCCGTTTAGTTTTTCAATTCATACAAAACCATATCCAGGCCATCACCAATAATTCTAAATGACAAATGTTTCTTCTAACAGTCCCACAATATCACCCCTTACCACAAAATCTTCCTTCAGCTTAATCTCTCCCACTCTAGGTTCCCACGCCACCCCTAATGCTGCTCGAAGCAGCCCTGAGAAACATTGCCCATTATCTCTCCATACCACCCCCAAAAATTTTCACCATCCCAACACTTTACCACTATTTCATTTTGTTTTTCTTATTAATATAAGAAGACAGGAATGTCAGGCCTCTGAGCCCAAGCTAAGCCATCATATCCCTTGTGACCTACAAGTACACATCCAGATGGCTGGTTCCTGCCTTAACTGATGACATTCCACCACAAAAGAAGTGAAAATGGCCTGTTCCTGCCTTAACTGATGACATTGTCTTGTGAAATTCCTTCTCCTGGCTCATCCTGGCTCAAAAGCTCCCCTACTGAGCACCTTGTGACCCCCACTCTGCCTGCCAGAGAACAACCCCCCTTTGACTGTAATTTTCCTTTACCTACTCAAATCCTATAAAACTGCCCCACTCCCATCTCCCTTCACTGACCCTTTTCAGACTCAGCCCACCTGCATCCAGGTGAAATAAACAGCTTTATTGCTCACACAAAGCCTATTTGGTGGTCTCTTCACACGGAAGCGAATGAAAATATTAATATAAAAACAGACACATAGATTAATGGAAAAGAGTAGTAAACTCAGAAGTAAAACCACACACTTACAATTATCTGATCATCAACAAGGCCGACAAAACCAAGCAATGGGAAAAGCACTACCTATTCAATATATACTGCTGGGATAACTGGCTAGTTATAAATGCAGAAGAATGAAACTGTACTCTTGCCTTTCATCATCTACAAAAATTACTCCAAGATGAATTAATTAAATTTAAGATATCAGTCTATAAAAAACTTAGAAGAAAACCTAGGAAATATCCTCCTCAACACGGGCCTTGGCAAATAATTTTTGGCTGAGTTCTCAAAAGCAATTGCAAATATATGCCAAAAATTGGCAACTGGTACATAATTAAAATCTTCCACACAGCTAAAGAAACTATTAATAGAGTAAACAGACTACCTACACAATGGGAGAAAATATTTGCAAACTACACATCTGAAAAGGTCTAATATCCAGAAACTACAAGGAACTTAAGCAATTCAATAGTTTAAAAAACAAATAAAAACATTAAAAAATGGGCATAATATAATCATAGACAAAAGACATACATGCAGTCAAAAATTACATATAAAAATACTAATCATTAGAGAAATGTAAATCAAAACCACAATGAGATACCATCTTACACTGGTCAGAATGCCTGTTCTTTTTTTTTTTTTCCTATGTTTCTTTCATTTTTTTTTTTATTATTATACTTTAAGTTTTAGGGTACATGTGCACAATGTGCAGGTTAGTTACATATGTATACATGTGCCATGCTGGTGTGCTGCACCCATTAACTCAACATTTAGCATTAGGTATATCTCCTAATGCTATCCCTTGCCCCTTCCCCAACCCACAACAGTCCCCAGAGTGTGATGTTCCCCTTCCTGTGTCCATGTGTTCTCATTGTTCAATTCCCATCTATGAGTGAGAACATGTGGTGTTTGGTTTTTTGTCCTTGCGATAGTTTACTGAGAATGATGATTTCCAATTTCATCCATGTCCCTACAAAGGACATGAACTCATCATTCTTTATGGCTGCATAGTATTCCATGGTGTATACGTGCCACATTTTCTTAATCCAGTCTATCATTGTTGGACATTTGGGTTGGTTCCAAGTCTTTGCTATTGTGAATAGTGCCGCAATAAACATACCTGTGCATGTGTCTTTATAGCAGCATGATTTATAATCCTTTGGGTATATACCCAGTAATGGGATGGCTGGGTCAAATGGTATTTCTAGTTCTAGATCCCTGAGGAATCTAGGGATTTCTAACATAACACACTGACTTCCACAATGGTTGAACTAGTTTACAGTCCCACCAACAGTGTAAAAGTGTTCCTATTTCTCCACATCCTCTCCAGCACCTGTTGTTTCCTGACTTTTTAATGATTGCCATTCTAACTGGTGTGAGATGGTGTCTCATTGTGGTTTTGATTTGCAATTCTCTGATGGCCAGTGATGATGAGCATTTTTTTCATGTGTCTTTTGGCTGCACAAATGTCTTCTTTTGAGAAGTGTCTGTTTATATCCTTTGCCCACTTTTTGATGGGGTTGTTTGTTTTTTTCCTGTAAATTTGTTTGAGTTCGTTGTAGATTCTGGATATTAGCCCTTTGTCAGATGAGTAGGTTGTGAAAATTTTCTCCCATTTTGTAGGTTGCCTGTTCACTCTGATGGTAGTTTCTTTTGCTGTACAGAAGCTCTTTAGTTTAATGAGATCCCATTTGTCAATTTTGACTTTTGTTGCCATTGCTTTTGGTGTTTTAGACATGAAGTTCTTGCCCATGACTATGTCCTGAATGGTAATGCCTAGGTTTTCTTCTAGGGTTTTTATGATTTTAGGTCTAACATTTAAGTCTTTAATCCATCTTGAATTAATTTTTGTATAAGGTGTAAGGAAGGATCCAGTTTCAGCTTTCTACATATGGCTAGCCAGTTTTCCCAGCACCATTTATTAAATAGGGTATCCTTTCCCCATTGCTTGTTTTTCTCAGGTTTGTCAAAGATCAGATAGTTGTAGATATGCGGCGTTATTTCTGAGGGCTCTGTTCTGTTCCATTGATCTGTATCTCTGTTTTGGTACCAGTACCATGCTGTTTTGGTTACTGTAGCCTTGTAGTATAGTTTGAAGTCAGGTAGCGTGATGCCTCCGGATTTGTTCTTTTGGCTTAGGATTGACTTGGTGATGCAGGCTCTTTTTTGGTTCCACATGAACTTTAAAGTAGTTTTTTCCAATTCTGTAAAGAAAGTCATTGGTAGCTTGATGGGGATGGCATTGAATCTATAAATTACCTTGGGCAGTATGGCCATTTTCACGATATTGATTCTTCCTACCCATGAGCATGGAATGTTCTTCCATTTGTTTGTATCCTCTTTTATTTCATTGAGCAGTGGTTTGTAGTTCTCCTTGAAGAGGTCCTTCATGTCCCTTGTAAGTTGGATTCCTAAGTATTTTTTTCTCTTTGAAGCAATAGTGAATGGGAGTTCACTCATAATTTGGCTCTGTGTTTGTCTGTTATTGGTGTATAAGAATGCTTGTGATTTTTGTACATTGATTTTGTATCCTGAGACTTTGCTGAAGTTGCTTATCAGCTTAAGGAGATTTTGGGCTGAGACAATGGGCTTTTCTAGATATACAATCGTGTCATCTGCAAACAGGGACAATTTGACTTCCTCTTTTCCTAATTGAATACCCTTTATTTTCTTCTCCTGCCTGATTGTCCTGGCCAGAACTTCCAACACTATGTTGAATAGGAGTGGTGAGAGAGGGCATCCCTGTCTTTTGCCAGTTTTCAAAGGGAATGCTTCCAGTTTTTGCCCATTCAGTATGATATTGGCTGTGGGTTTGTCATAGATAGCTCTTATTATTTTGAAATACATCCCATCAATACCTAATTTATCGAGAGTTTTTAGCATGAAGTGTTGTTGAACTTTGTCAAAGGCCTTTTCTGCATCTATTGAGATAATCGTGTGGTTTCTGTCTTTGGTTCTGTTTATATGCTGGATTACATTTATTGATTTGTGTATATTGAACCAGGGTTGCATCTCAGGGATGAAGCCCACTTGATCATGTTGGATAAGCTTTTTGATGTGCTGCTGGATTCAGTTTGCCAGTATTTTATTGAGGATTTTTGCATCAATATTCATCAAGGATATTGGTCTAAATTCTGTTTTTGGTTGTGTCTCTGCCCGGCTTTGGTATCAGGATGATGCTGACCTCATAAAATGAGTTAGGGAGGATTCCCTCTTTTTCTATTGATTGGAATAGTTTCAGAAGGAATGGTACCAGTTCTTCCTTGTACCTCTGGTAGAATTCAGCTGTGAATCCATCTGGTCCTGGACTCCTTTTGGTTGGTAAGCTATTGATTCTTGCCACAACTTCAGATCCTGTTATTGGTCTATTCAGAGATTCAACTTCTTCCTGGATTAGTCTTGGGAGAGTCTATGTGTCGAGGAATTTATCCATTTCTTCTAGATTTTCTAGTTTATTTGCGTAGAGTTGTTTGTAGTATTCTCTGATGGTAGTTTGTATTTCTGTGGGGTCGGTGGTGATATCCCCTTGATCATTTTTTATTGCATCTATTTGATTCTTCTCTCTTTTTTTCTTTATTAGTCTTGCTAGCTGTCTATCAATTTTGTTGATCCTTTCAAAAAACCAGCTCCTGGATTCATTAATTTTTTGAAGGGTTTTTTGTGTCTCTATTTCCTTCAGTTCTGCTCTGATTTTAGTTATTTCTTGCCTTCTGCTAGCTTTTGAATGTGTTTGCTCTTGCTTTTCTAGTTCTTTTAATTGTGATGTTAGGGTGTCAATTTTGGATTTTTCCTGCTTTCTCTTGTGGGCATTTAGTGCTAGAAATTTCCCTCTACACAATGCTTTGAATGTGTCCCAGAGATTCTGGTATGTTGTGTCTTTGTTCTCGTTGGTTTCAAAGAACATCTTTATTTCTGCCTTCATTTCGTTATGTGCCCAGTAGTCATTCAGGAGCAGGTTGTTCAGTTTCCATGTAGTTGAGCGGTTTTGAGTGAGTTTCTTAATCCTGAGTTCTAGTTTGATTGCACTGTGGTCTGAGAGACAGTTTGTTATAATTTCTGTTCTTTTACATTTGCTGAGGAGAGCTTTACTTCCAACTATGTGGTCAATTTTGGAATAGGTGTGGTACAGTGCTGAAAAAAATGTATATTCTGTTGATTTGGGGTGGAGAGTTCTGTGGATGTCTATTAGGTCCGCTTGGTGCAGCGTTGAGTTTAATTCCTGGGTATCCTTGTTAACTTTCTGTCTCGTTGATCTGTCCAATGTTGACACTGGGGTGTTAAAGTCTCCCATTATTATTGTTTGGTAGTCTAAGTCTCTTTGTAGGTCACTCAGGACTTGCTTTATGTATCTGGGTGCTCCTGTATTGGGTGCATATGTATTTAGGATAGTTACCTCTTCTTGTTGAATTGATCCCTTTACCATTATGTAATGGCCTTCTTTGTCTCTTTTGATCTTTGTTGGTTTAAAGTCTGTTTTATCAGAGACTAGGATTGCAACCCCTGCTTTTTTTTGTTTTCCATTTGCTTGGTAGATCTTCCTCCATCCTTTTATTTTGAACAGGCAGACTGCCTCCTCAAGTGGGTCCCTGACCCCTGACCCCAGAGCAGACTAACTGGGAGGCACCCCCCAGTAGGGGCAGACTGTCACCTCACACGGCCAGGTACTCCACTGAGACAAAACTTCCAGAGGAAAGATCAGATAGCAGCATTCGCGGATCACAAAAATCCGTGGTTCTGCAGACACTGCTGCTGATACCCAGGCAAACAGGGTCTGGAGTGGACCTCTAGCAAACTCCAACAGACCCGCAGCTGAGGGTCCTGTCTGTTAGAAGGAAAACTAACAAACAGAAAGGACATCCACACCAAAAACCCATCTGTACAACATCATCATCAAAGACCAAAAGTAGATAAAACCACAAAGATGGGGAAAAAACTGGAAACTCTAAAAAGCAGAGCACCTCTCCTCCTCCAAAGGAACGCAGTTCCTCACCAGCAATGGAACAAAGCTGGATGGAGAATGACTTTGACGATTTGAGAGAAGAAGGTTTCAGACGATCAAACTACTCCGAGCTACAGGAGGAAATTCAAACTAAAGGCAAAGAAGTTGAAAACTTTGAAAAAAATTTACATGAATGTATAACTAGAATAACCAATACAGAGAAGTGCTTAAAGGAGCTGATGGAGGTGAAAGCCAAGGCTCGAGAACTAAGTGAAGAATGCAGAAGCCTCAGGAACTGATGCAATCAACTGGAAGAAAGGGTATCAGTGATGGAAGATGAAATGAATGAAATGAAGCGAGAAGGGAAGTTTAGAGAAAAAAGAATAAAAAGAAATGAGCAAAGCCTCCAAGAAATATGGGACCATGTGAAAAGACCAAATCTGCATCTGATTGGTTTACCTCAAAGTGATAGGGAGAATGGAACCAAGTTGGAAAACACTCTGCAGGATATTATCCAGGAGAACTTCCCCAATCTAGCAAGGCAGGCCAATATTCAGATTCAGGAAATACAGAGAACACCACAAAGATACTCCTTGAGAAGAGCAACTCCAAGACACATAATTGTCAGATTCACCAAAGTTGAAATGAAGGAAAAAATGTTAAGGGCAGCCAGAGAGAAAGGTCGGGTTACCCACAAAGGGAAGCCCATCAGACTAACAGCGGATCTCTTGGCAGAAACTCTAGAAGCCAGAGAGAGTGGGGGCCAATATTCAACATTCTTAAAGAAAATAATTTTCAACCCAGAATTTCATATCCAGCCAAACTAAGGTTCATAAGTGAAGGAGAAATAAAATCCTTGACAGAAAGCAAATCCTGAGAGATTTTGTCACCACCAGGCCTGCCCTAAAAGAGCTCCTGAAGGAAGCACTAAACATGGAAAGGCACAACCGACCAGTACCAGCCACTGCAAAATCATGCCTGTTCTTAAAAAATAAAAAACAGCAGATATTGGTGAGGTTGTGGAAGAAAAGAAATGCTTATACACTGTTGATGGGAATGTAAATTAGTTCAGACACTACGGAAAGTAGTTGAGAGCTTTCTTAAATAACTTAGCTATTTCTTAAATAACACAGAGCTACCATTTGACCCATTAATACTGCTACTGAATATATACACAAAGGAAAATAGATCATTAAATCAAAAGACACATGCACTCATATGTTCATTGCTAGGCTCTTCACAATAGCAAAGACATGCAATTAACCTAGTGCCCATCAGTGGTAGGTTGAATGAAAAAAATGTCATACATATACACCATAGAATACTATGCAGCCATAAAAAAAATTAAATTATGTCTTTTGCAGCAACATGGATAAAGCTGGAGGCCATAATTCTAAGTGAACTAACACAAAAACCAAAAATCAAATACTGCATGTTCTCACTTGTAAGTGGGAGCTCAACATTGTGTACACATGGACATAAACATGGGAATAATAGATACTAGAGACTACTAGTCAGGAGAGAGTGTGGGGCTTGGGTTGAAAAACTACTTATTAGATACTAGGCCCAATATCCTGCATGCAATACACCCCTGTAACAAACCTGCACAAGTACCCCCTATACCTAAAGTAAAAGTTGAAATAAAAAAACTCAGGATAAAAAATCCTTTATATTTTTAAAAAATTAATAAGTAAGCTTGAAAGCAAGAAGACACAGTCTTCAGGTAACATACATAATCTAATAAGAAACTTATAGCCATTAATTAGAGGGATGTAATCCTTTATGAAACTCTGAGATAATTGACATATTCCCCAGGATAGTTATTTTTTTTTTTGGCCAAAATATCTCATACATTTCAGGATATTTGGCTTTTCTGGACCCATTCACACTAAATGCCAATAAGATCCAATAGTCATTGCAACAAGTAATAATGCATCAACTAGAAGAAAATTTATTACGAGGTTAATGAAGCTCAAATTTAAGGGTCTGCCATTAAATGAACTCCTCCCAGATCCCTGTACCTAATTTTGTATTTGTAAATTTCTATTATTCTTTAAAAGACATTAAGAGTTGTATAAAACTTCAGACCCCCCAGTTCTAGATTTTACCCTGACTCAAACATTGTCAAACTCCGTCAGCCTAGGGAAGGAGGGACAGATACATTCTCAATTGAGAAACAGTGTTTTCAGGAAAAGGGATATTTACACACAAGTGAGGATTGGAACTGAGCCTATAGTCTATTTGTGTGTTGGATTCCTGAAAGTCCTCCCCTCTATATATCCAGAAGTGTGAAAATGATTGTGACATGTGTGACCCTAAATGTGGATAAGGAAGACTCTTTTTCCCGGCCTCAAAAAATGGATTACTAGTGAATTTTTTGTCCTGAAATATGAGTCTAAGGAATTCATCTGCAATAAACCAACATCACTATGTGTTTCAACCATGTGTGTTTGAGGGCTGAAATTACCAACTTATGTAACAATTTTCAGCCAAAAAATTAAGACAATAAATCCTATGAGGATGATCTTACTAATAAAAATTACAAAATACCTCCCAAATCTCACCACTACAAGGCAAAGTTAGCATATGTAACAAATAGAAGAATTCACACTGGAGAAAATAAAAATAATAACACGAGCATATGTTATGTCACAGGAATTTAAGGTGCCACATTCCTGTGACAATCTGGAAAAGCCAAAAAAAAAAGTCCTACAGCTTGAAGATCTTTATAATCTGTCTTTCGGCATAAAATTAAAGGTTTTTTTTGTTTTTTTTTTTTTTTTTTTTTTTAAATCAGACCTATGAAACCAGTTCAGACTAAGAACCTCAAGAATGCTCTGGATTCCAGCTTGAGATGATCTTTGGGTTTGACTGTTGACTCTATCCTATTCTGACAACAAAATCAACTTCTAGGAGTTTCAGAACTTTTAGAAATGTGATGTAAGCTATTGTTCATTTTCTTATAAACATGATCACATATGTATATAACAAATTTTGTATACAACATCAAGATCATCACAAATTACCCAACATTTATTACTGTACCCCAAAGCAGTCATAAACCCTGGTTAACAACACCTATTATAGATAATAATATCTATGTATAGAAGCAACTGTTGAAATCCTTTAGATTTTATGTATCGCAAAAAATTGGGGTTCTATGAAGAGGCTTATATCTCAGCCCTTGTTTATTTCCTCTATGTTGTACTTCCATTTGGTACAGATATAATATAACCTGTATATATTATTTAGCTACAGAAAGCATCAAGTAATTTGAGCAAATTCATACTTTTTCATAGATCATTAAATTTCACAATGCTCTTAATCCATACCCTTTCAGAGGTGGAGAGTAGGAGATCCAAGCTAAAATGTTAAAAGTATATAACAAATAAATATGTTAAGATAAAATAAAACTTGAAATTAGTATATAATTGAAATAGTGATAGAAGATAAATAAGATAAGGTCAGAAGTGACAATGGCTTAAAGATGCATGTTAAAATTACGTAGTATATTTTCCATACCAGGATGCAAATGTGACTTAAGCTTTCAAGTAGAAAATGTGAACCCCAAAAATCTGAGACAGGTCTCAGTTAATTTAAAAAGTTTATTTTGCCAAGGTAGAGGATGCAGGCCTGTGACACAGCCTCATGAGATCCTGACAATATGTTCCCAAAGTGGTCAGAGCACTGTTTGATTTTATGGATTCCAGGGAGACATGAGACATCAATCAACATTTCCAAGATGAGCATTGGTTTGGTCTGGAAAGGGACAACTCAAAGCAAAGGTGGGAAGACTGAAAGCAGGGAGAGGACTTCCAGGTCATAGGTAGGTAAGAGACAAATAGCTGCATTCTTTTGAATTTCTGATTAGCCTCTCCCAAGGAGGGAATCAGATATGCATTTATCTCAGTGAGCAGAGGAGTGACTTTGAAAAGCATGGGAGGCAGGTTGGCCCTAAGCAGTTTCTAGCTTGACTTTTCCCCTTTCACAAAAATGTAAAGCATTATTTTCTGATATTGCTTAATCCAAGAATATATTTAAAAGCATATAAATCTGGGATCAGAAAACACTTTCTTTAAATAGTGAATAGTTTAAATATTGCGAGCCATATGGTCTCAAACTCATATTCTTTGCTTTTTTTGTTTTCTGTTTATTTTATATTAGTTTGTTTTACAGCCCTTAAAAACTGTAAAAGACTTTCTTAGCTCCCAGGCCATACAAAAACAGATCCATAAGTTTGCCAACCTCTGATATGGAAATTTGATTGACTAAGGATTCTTTAAACAATTTTGCATAGATATTGCCTCTTTCTACTGAAATTTGCTAAGACAGCAATGCTAAATTTCAAGTCGTGCTTACTAATAAGTACCTGATTTATAACCCTTCTTATTTACCAGTTAATTATGAAAGCTATATTATTTCCCAGCAAGTCAAGTTAGGGATATAATTGCTATTGTCTTGAAAAAGTTTAGAAACCTGACTGTTATTTTGGTTTTCTTGAGAGCAGATGCCAATATGAGATTAGATATTCAAGACATATGTTTAAAGTAATGTTTATGGAAGATAAACAGAAAAAAGCAGAGATAATCTTCATACAGTAATACCGAAACCTGTGAAAGAACAAACCATAGGGAGGTGGATTGAATATGAAAAGATCCAGACTGTAGCACAGCTTTGAAAAAGATTTGGTCAGGCCATAAAATAGTGCTATGTCCCACAGAGAATACTCATAGTCTGTTATTGACTGAGGTATTCCAGAAGAAATGTGGACTCAGCACAAAGCAGAGATATATCTAGAGGAACAGTGGCTAGGATTTTCAGCCAACTACACTTCCCAGAGCAAAAGATCTGAGTGACACATTTCCCTGTCTGCCTACACTGACAAAAAAACACAGTTTTTAAAGAATGGCAAATTTGTCAAATAATTATGTACAAAAAAGCATCAGTAATTTAAAAGAGAATTATTTCAGCCTTTTTTACATTTTATTTTTTAAGTGGAAGATTTTTATTATTTTATTTTTATAGATTTTTAATTTTTAATTTTTATGAGCACATAGTGGGTGTGTATATTTATGGGGTATATAAAATGTTTTGATAGAGGCATGCAATATGAAATAATTAATCACTTCACAGAAAATGGGGTATCCATTTCTTCAAGCATTTATCCTTTGAGTTACAAACAATCCAATTACACCCTTTAAGTTATTTTAAAATGTACAATTAAGTTATTGTTGATTTTAGTCACCTTGTTGTGCTATCAAATAGTAGGTCTTATTCATTCGATAATAGAATTGAATTGCTAGTTGTGGATTTTTGCATCTATATGATTGGTCCGTATTTTTATTTTTATTTTTTGTTGAGATGGAGTCTCGCTCTGTCACCCAGACTGGAGTGCAGTGGCGGGATCTTGGCTCACTGCAACCTCTGCCTCCGAGGTTCAAGCGATTCTCCTGCCTCAGCCTCCTGAGTAGCTGGGACTACAGGCACCTGCCACCACGCAATTTCTGTATTGTTAGTAGAGACGTGGTTTCACCATATTGGCCAGGCTGGTCTCGAACTCCTGACTTTGTGATCCTCCCACCTCAGCTTCCCCAAGTGCTAGGATTACAGGCATCAGCCACCACACCCTGCCTGTCTGTATTTTTTTTAATGTGTCTTTGGTTTTGGTATCAAGGTGATACTGGCCTCATGGAATGAGTTAGGGTGAATTCCCTCCTTGTCAATTTTTTGGAATAGTTTCAAGAGTTTTGGTTTTAGTTTTTCTTTGTATGTTTGGTAGAATTCAGCTCTGAATCCATTTGGTTGTGGGCTTTTTTTGTGGAAGAGGTTTTTTATTACAGATTAAATCTCACTACTCATTATTGGTCTATTCAAGAGGTCTATTTATTTGTGGTACAATCATCTGGAAAGCTTCTATGTTACCAGGAATGTATCCATTTCCTCTAGGTTTTCTAGTTGTTCATAATAGTCTTCGAAGAACTTTTGTATTTCTGTGGTATCAGTTGTAATGTCTTCTTTTACATTTCTGATTGTGTTTATTTGGATCTACTCCATTTTCTTGGTTAATCTGGTAATGGGTTTATTAATTTTGTTTATGTTATCGAAGAACCAATTTTTCATTTCAATCATCTTTTGTATTTTTTTTTTTTTTGGTCTCAATTTGATTTAGTTCTTCTCTGACCTTTGGTATTTCTTTTCTTCTGCTAACTCTTGTGATGATTTCTTTTTCTTGTTTTTCTAGTTCCTTGAGGTGTGATGTTATTTGTAATCTTTTTACCTTTATGATGTAGATATTTAATGCTATAAACCTCCCTTATAATACTGCTTTTGCTGTATCCCAAAAGTTTTGATGTCATGTTTTTATTTTTATTTATTTCAAATGTTTTTACAATTTTTTTCATTTCTTCATTAACCCAGTTGTTATTGGAAAGAGGTCCCGATCCAGATCCCGAGATGGTTCTTGGATCTCACACAGGAAAAAATTCAGGGTGAGTCTGCAGTGCAAAGTAAATACAACTTTATTAAGAGAGTAAAGTGGTGAAAGAACAGCTACTCCATAGAGTAGGACATTCCTGAAAGTAAGAGGAGGAACACATCCACCCTAGTTACAATGCTTGTGTGTGTGTGTGTGTGTGTGTGTGTGTGTATGCATGTGTGTGTGTGTATATATATACACATACATATATATATACATATATACATATGCATATGTATATGCATGTGCATATACATATATGTATATACGTATATGCATATGCATATGTATATACGTATATACGTATATGCATATGCATATGTATATATTTATGTGTATATATGTGTATATATGTGCATATGTATATATATGTATATATGTGTATATGTATATTTATGTATATATGTGTATATGTATATATGTATATAAGTATATATGTATGCATATGTATATATGTATATACATATATGTGTATATGTATATATACACATATATATGTATATACATATATACACATACATATATGTATATACATATATACACACATATATATGTATATACATATATATACACACATATATATGTATATACATATATATACACATACATATATATATGATACAAATAGATCTTGGAGAGATGTGTTCTGATGCAAGGGTTTGTGATAAAGGATTAATTACTACATTTTGCAAGAATCAATATTATTATCTTTAAAGCAAAATTAGGAATGCCCTTGTTCTCCAGATATGGGGATATCTGGACATGCCCAAGTCTGGGTCTGTTTCAGTAAACTTCATTAATTTGTTCCCGTAATGGTAAGCATCTAGAGTCTAGGAATTTCTAATTTTCTGGGAATGCAGCCAAGCAAGTCTCGGCGTCATTTTCCTGGTCCTCACTCAAAATGGAGTCACTCTGGTTTGAACGCCTCTGACACAATGATTGTGCAGGAGCATGCTATTTAATTTCTATGTATTTGTTTAATTCACAAAGTTTCTCTTGGTATTCATTTCTAGCTTTATTCCACTGTGGTGTGAGAAGATACTTGATGAGGTTTTAATTTTTAAAATATATTGACTTGTTTTGTAGCCTAATATGAGATCTATCTTAGAAAATGTTACATGTACTGATAAAAATACTTTGTAGTCTGTAATTCTTGTGTAGAATGTTATGTAAATATCTGTTTAGTCCATTTGATCTAAGATCTAATTTAAGTCCAATCTTTCTTTGTTAGTCTCTGTCTTAATGATCTATTTTGAGCTGTTAGTGGGGTGTTGAAGTCTCTGACTATTATTGTATTGCTTTCTATGTATTTTTTTAGGTCCAGTAATATTTGTTTTGTAAATTTAGATACTTCAATGTTAGGCACATATATATTTAGACCTGTTGTAGCCTCTTGCTGAATTGATCCCTTTATTATATAATGACATTCGTTGTCTTTTTAAAATTGTTTCTGATTTAAAGTCTACTTTAGCTGATATAAGTATAGCTACTCCTGCTCACTTTTTGTTTCCATTTGTGTGAAATATCTTTTTCTACCCCTTTACTTTCAATCTGTATGTACTTTTATTGGTTAGATAAGTTTCTTTTAAGCAGGATATAGTTGGATCACTTTTTAAGTCCATTCTATCGATCTATTTTTTAAGTGCAGCATTTAGTCCATTTGTATTCAGGATTAATATTAATATGTGATTCATTGTCCTGGTAATATTGTTAATTGTTTTCAAATTGTTTTTACGAATTTTTGTTTCCCTTTTATTCTCTTTTTGTCTTTGTGGTTTCAGAAAATTCTGTCATGTTGCCATTTCATTCTTTCTCTTCCCCCTTTATGTGCTTGTTTTCTGAGAACTGTGTGTTTTATACTTCCATGGGTTTTTATGATAGCGAATGTCAACCTTTCATTTCCATATTTAAGGCTTCTTTGAGCATTTCCTGTATTGCTAGTCTAGTGGCAAATTCACTTAGCATTTGCTTATATGAATAAAATTTTATTTCTCCTTCATTTGTGAAGCTTATTCCAAATAAAATTCTTCGTGGACAGTGTTTTTCTTTTAGCACCTTAAAAATGCAGTTTCATTCTCTTATGGCCTGTAAGGTTTCTGCTGGAAAGTTCAATGTTAATCTAACAGAGTTTCCTTCATAGCTTACTAGATACATTTTTCTTGTTAATTTTAAAATTCTTTCTTTTACTTGAACTTTAGACATTCTGAATACAGTGTTTCATGTTAAAGTAATTTTTGCAATGTGTTTGTCTGAGTAGCACTGGGTTTCTGTACCTCAATGCCTAACTCTCTTGCTAAACTTGAAAAGTTTACATCGATTACTTCCTTAAATATGTTTTCTATAACTTTTATTTCCATTCCCCCACAGTAATACCAATAATTTGTAAATTAATCAATTTATTTAGTCCCAGATGTCTCAAAGACTTTTTAAAATCAACT
Organism: Homo sapiens; assembly: GCF_000001405.40. Lineage (NCBI taxonomy): Eukaryota > Metazoa > Chordata > Mammalia > Primates > Hominidae > Homo > Homo sapiens. The sequence goes on from NC_000024.10 coordinate 6,158,794, forward strand.
TTTAGATTTTGTTATCAAATACTCCTGAATGCAGGAACAGCATAATAGGACATACTCAGTGCCCTGGATTACCACACTTAATTGAAGTAAACCATGATGTAAATAAAATAAATGTTGAGATGGATTGTTTATCCAGTGAAATAATGAGTTTACTTCTTCTTGCTGATGGAGTAGCAGTTAATACTAACAAAAAAGACGAAATTTCAGATGCTGTGGTAAGAAGGAAACTAAACTTTTCAATTACACCTCAGAATGTTTTAATGAGTAGCTCTGAAAAAATTATGCCATCACAAAATGACATCTCACAAACTAACATTTCTCAGTCAGTTCTATTTGATAATAAAAATCTCATTACTGAATGCCACCGTGTTAATTCAACCTAAACTGTCATAGTCCATCCATTTAGCTGGAGAGACATCAAGAACATGCCAGACACATTTTATTTGGTGGTAAGCTGATTGCTTTTTCACCTTTAAGCCTCTCTGTGTAGAACAATCAGAAGAATTTTAAATTTAAAAGTAAAACAAAATACTTCCTTCTGTATTTTTAATGCTGTAATATATTCTTTCTTTTTTGGACAGGATCTCATTCTGTGTGTAGACTGGAGTACGGTGACATGACCACAGTGTGCTGTAGCCTCAACCTCCTGGGCTCAAGCTATCCAAAGGAGCTGGGACTACAGGCACACACAGCTATGGGTGGCTATTTTTTTTTTAATTTTGTAGATACAGGGTCTCACTAAGTTGCCCAGGCTGGTCTCAATCTCCCGACCTCAAGGAATCCTCCTGCCTTTGCCTCCCAAAGTGCTGAAATTACAGGCATGAGCCTCTATGCCTAGTCTGTAATATATTCTTTAGACTATTAAAAATTTGGGTAATATATATGTATATTCACGTCTATTGAATCTACTTGTGTAATATTATCTGTTTAAATGTTAATTGTTAAGTGAACTGTATGTTTTCAGCTATATATCTCAGCAATATATTCCAATTTAGATACAATACTGTTTTTCAAGGGAGGTGGAAATATTTTGTACATTAACCATGCAAAATAAAATTGTACTTTAAAATACATTGATTTTTAGATGTTAAAACAACTTTGCATTCTTGGGACAAATCTGAGATAATCGTTTATGATCCATTTAACATGCTGCTGTATTCAGTTGGCTAGCATTTTGTTGAGCATTTTTACATCTGTTATAAGAGATATCAGACTGTGTGTTTTTTTATTTTGTTTTCTTTGGTTTTCATATCCAGATATTATTGGACTAAAATAAAGAGTTGGGAAGTATTTCTTTCTGTTCTGTTTTTGGAAGCATTTATGAGTAATTGGTATCAGTTATTTAAGTGCTTGTTAGAATACAGTAGCAAAATCTTTTTTTCTGGGTCTTTGTGAATATATTTTTGGTTAGTAATTTAATCTCTGTGCATGTACTTCTTTTCAGGGTTTTCCTTTTTTTTAAGTCACTTTCAGCATTTTGTGTTTCTCTAGGAACTTTTCTATTTTATGTAAGCTATTCAATTTGTTGGCATACAATTGGTTATAGTATTCCTTTATAATATTTGAGAAATTTCTGAATAGTTGGTAGTAATGTCACCTAATACTTTAGCTGTGGAATCAGGTCTCCCTTCCTTCATTCTTGGTTAATTGAACTAAAAGTTTTTCAAGTTTGTTGAATTCTTGAAGCACCAATTTTTGGTTTTGTTGCACTTCTGTATTCTTTTCTATTTTAGATTTTACTAATTTCCAGTATAAACTTTATTCTTTTTTCAATATACTTACTTTTAGTTTTCTCTTTTTTCCATTTTCCTAAGGCAGTCAGTTAGATTATTGATTTGAGAACTTTCTTCTATCTGAATATAGACATTTTTACCTATATATTTCTCTCTATGCACTATTTAGCTACATCTCATAAGTTTTTGCATGTGTTTTATATTTTTATTTATTTCAAATTATTTTCTAATTTTCCTTGTGATTATTTATTTGACCCATTTGTTGTATAGAAGTGTATTGTTTAATTTTCACATATTTGTGAGTTTCCAAATTTTCTTTATTATTGGTTCCTAGTTCCATTCCATTATAACTGAACCAAAATAATTTGTATTATTTCAATCCTTATAACCTTATTTGTCATTTTTTGTTCTCTTTATTTGTTCCTTAATTTCTGTTACCATTTGCTGTAATTACTACAGACTTATACAGCCTTGGTCTCACCTACATCCTTCATGATATTATTCACACTAATATCACATATTTGTTTGCTATATAAGCCAGATACAATTATATACATGTTGTCTTATACAATTGTTTTTAAATTTGTTAAGAGAAGAAATAAGAAATATCTGCTTCTGTGTTAATTTTTCAATTGCATAATTACCTTTGCTGTTGCTCTTTGTTTTTGTATGTGTACGTAAATTATTTTCTGCAGTCACTTGCTTTTATCCTAAAGAACTTCCTTTGCTATTTATTATAAAGCAGGTTTGCTAACAACACATTCTCTTAATTTTTAAATATTTTTGAAATGTCTTTATTTTGTCTTCATTGTTGAAAGATATTTTTTCTAAATATAAGATTTTTGATTGCCTTTTTTTTTCTCAAAGCACTTCAAATATGTATCTCACTGCTTTATGGTCTCCTTTGTTTCTGATAAAAAGGCACTTTTTAATCTTATTGGAGTTTCATTGTAAGTTATAAATAAGTTTGCTCTTGCTGATTGCAAAATTTTCCTCTTGTCTTTGATTTTCAGCATTTACATTATAAAGTTTCTTTGCCTATTTTTCTGTTTTGCTTACATAGCATTTGTTGAGTTTCTAGAATGTGTTGATTAAAATTTTTCATCAAATTTAGCAAATTTTGAGCATTATTTTTTGAAGTATTATTTCTGCTTTTTTTACTCCTCTCTGTTACTTTCTTTACTGGTAAGTTTGTGTGCTTAATGTTCCACATTTCTGTGAGAATATGTTCATTTTTATTTATTCTAATTTTCTTTATTTTATTTTATTTTATTATTATTATACTTTAAGTTTTAGGGTACATGTGCACAATGTGCAGGTTAGTTACATATGTATACATGTGCCATGCTGGTGTGCTGCACCCATTAACTCGTCATTTAGCATTAGGTGTTTCTCCTAATGCTATCCCTCCATTGCGGCACTATTCACAATAGCAAAGACTTGGAACCAACTGAAATGTCCAACAATGATAGACTGGATTATTCTAATTTTCTTTTAATTTTTGATTTATATAATTTCTATCAATTTATCTTCAAGTCTGCTAATTCTTATACCATGAAGCATCTTTAGTAAATTGTTCATTTTTCATTATTGTATCTATCAATTCCATAGTTTTCATTTTAATAACTTATCTCTTTATTAATATTCTCTGATGAAACATTGTCAATTACCTGTTTGATACAGTTTGGATCTGTGTACCCACTAAATCTCATGTCGAATTGTAATCCTCAATGTTGAAGGTGGGACCTGGTGGAAGGTGATTGGATTATGGGGGCAAATATTTCATAAATGGTATAGCATCATCTCTCTTGGTGATGTCCTCATGATAGCAAGTTCTCATGAGATCTGGTTGCTTAAAAGTGTTTCGCAGCTCTCCCCTCTCACTTTTGCTCCTGCTCTGGCCATGTGACATATCTGCTCCCCTTTTACTTTCTGCCATAATTACAAGTTTTATGAGGCCTCTCCAGAGCCCAATCATATGCCGCTATATTTCCTGCACAGTCTGCTGAACCATGAGACAAGTAAACCTCTTTTCTTTATAAAGTACCCAATCCCAGGTATTTCTTTATAGCAATATGAGAAAAGACTAATACAGAAAATTGGTACCAAGGCTTAAAGCATTGTTATCAAGATACCAAAAAATGTGAAAGCAGTTTTGGAATTGGGTAAGAGGCAGATGTTGGAAGTGTGTTGAGGGCTCAGAGGAAGACAGAAAGATGAGGGAATGTTTGGAAATTCCTAGAGATTGGTTAAATGGTTGTGACTAAAACACCAATAGTGATATGAACAATGAAGGCCAGGCTATAGAGGTCTCAGACAGATAAGAGAAACTTATTGGGAACTGGAAAAAAGGTCATTTTTGTTATGCTTGAGCAAAGAATTTGGCTGCATTGTACATCTGCCCTAAAGATCTGTGAAACTTTAATGTTCAGAATGATAATTTAGGGTAGCTGGTGGCTGGTGAAAGACATTTCTAAGCAGCAAAGCATCCAAGAAGTGTCCTGGCTGCTTCTAACAGCCTATGCTTATATGATATGCATGAGCAAATAAATGACTTAAGGCTGGAACTTGTATTTAAAGGGTAAGTAGAGTATAGAAGTTTTGAAAATTTACAGCTTGGCCTTGTGGTAAAAATGAAAAGCTTATTTGCAGGGGAAGAAATCAGGCAAGCAGCAGAAATTTTCATAAGTAAAAAGGAGCCAAGTTTTAACAGCCAAGAAAATGGGGAAAAAGCCTCAAAGGCATTTCAGAAATCACCGTGGCAGCCACTCCTATCATGGACCCTGAGGCATAGGGGGACCAAATAGTTTGTGGGCCAGCATAAGGACCCCAATGCCCTGCATAACATGGTTACAATGCAACCTGCATTCCAGCCATTCCAGCTCCAGCCATACCTCAAATGTGCCTAAGTACAGCTTGAGCTGCTGCTTCAGAGGGTGAAAGTGGAAAGTCTTTGTGGTTTTCAAATGGTGTTAAGTCTGTGGGTGCACAGAATGTAAGAGTAAAAGGCATGGGAACCTTGACCTAGATTTTAGGGGATGTATTGAAAACCCTGCATGTCCAGAAAGAAGCCTGCTGCAAGGGTGGAACCTTCATGGAGAACCTCTACTAGGACAGTGTGAAGAAAAAAATGTGGGTATGGAGCCACCACACAAAGTCCCCACTGGGACATTGCCTAGTGGAGGTGTGAGAATAGGTCTATTATCCTCCAGACCCAGAAAAATTAGATCCACTGACAACTTGTACCCTGCTTGGCTTCTGGAGAGGCCTCATAAAACTGACAATCATGATGGAATGTAAAGGAAGAACAGACATATTACATGACCAGAGAAGGAGCAAGAGAGAGAGGGAGGAGGTCATACATACTTTTAAACCATCAAATCTCATGAGAACTCACTATCATGATGACAGCACCACCATGGATCATGCTAAACCATTCATGAGAAATCTGCCTCAATGATCCAATCACCCACCACCAGGCCCCATCTTCAACACTGAGGATTACAATTCCACATGAGATTTGGTGAGGACACAGATCCAAACCATATAATTCCACTCCTGGCATCTGCAAATCTTATGTCCTCACATTGCAAAATACAATCATGCTTTGCCAACAGTCTCCTAAAGTCTTAACACATTCCAGCATTAACTGAAATTCCAAGGTCCAAAGTCACATCTCATTTATAAGTTGGAGCTAAATTATGAGAACACATGAACACAAAGAGGAAAACAACACACACTGGGGCCTATTGGAGAGTAAAGGGTGGGAAGAGGGAGAGGATCAGGAAAAATAACTAACAAATATTTTGCTTAATTCCTGGGTGATGAAATAATCAGTACAAGAAACCCCCATGAAACAAGTTTACTTATGTAACAAAGCTACACATGTACCCCTAAACTTAAAATAAGAATTGAACATAGAATAATGTTTGAGGACAGTGTTTGAGATTAGTTCTGACCCTGTAATGTCACTTAGTGGTGTCTTTCCTTGGTTCTCTTTGGTAAACTAGCTGGGCTAAAATTTAGCCTTTATCTCTGATGAATTCACTTCCACTGTTTTTGAGCACACCCTTAGGCTTGAACTTCTTCATGCTCTGTTGAAAATAAATGTCAGTTCCTTTGAGAAGAACTTCAGAGCTCTCTGTTTTATGGTCCTTTTCCTTGGGCAAATTCTATTAACAACGACTAGGGGCAGGGACAGTTATGTCCTTCACTCTGAGTGACACCTCTGTTATTGGAAATCAGCACACAGCAGAGAGAGATAGTACATCCTGTTCTGTGTGGCTTGTCTTTCCAGTTTTAGAATCTTTGCTTTATAAATAAGCTGGGAAATTATAATTAAAAATGTGCCAGTATTATCAGTGCACTGTGGCCAATTTAGAGCTTCTTTCCTGTATGAGTGGGACTGGGTGAAAGAAAAAAGCCTCTCTTTTTAGTTGCAATAACCAAAAACACAGCTTCAGTAACAGGTAACTGGGGAGAAAAATGATAAAAGGTGATGTTGTGCCCCTCCTGGAAGATACCATAGCTCTCCAACTGGGAGCTAAGGGGAAGACAAGTTTTGGTATGGCTGTATTTCTGTAGAGTTTTACTCATGCTGAGTTAGGAGGGGAGTGGTAGAAAATGTAGTATGGTTCAAATAAAACAGATTTTTATATTCTTTAATTAGGTTTTATATAGTAATGGTTTTTCATTTGCTGTCTGTATCTAGGAACACTTTCCAAGACTTTAAATGTTTTTTTAAATATAATTTATCCCAGTTTAACTGCGGAGTCGGCCTATACTACTAGGAGGGAAATCTTACCAGGTTGCTTCTTAATCATAGAAGAGGCAGTAGCTCCCTTGGTGGTTTAGTTCTGCAATATGACTGCAAATTTTTCCTGAAAGTATAACCTAGAGTTTATTTCTTCAGTAGTTTGAATTAGTTGGCAAGCCATTCCCTTTAATAAATTCATTTCTGCTTAAATTAGGTAAAATTGATTTCATTTTCTGCAACTGAACATTTACCAATAGACTTCAAGGTACTCAGAGCATGCTGATTATACAGTGATCTAAACAGCTTGTTTCAGGTCTTAATTTCACATTGACAAACATAAATCTTGGCCTTTCGCACCTATGTGATTTTGCATTTATATATTGTCTCTTTTCAAGCCAGGTGACCCTAGAGAAATTATTCTTGTTTCCAGAATCATAGATACAGGTAAGTTTTTTGTCCGAAATTTACTCTCTTGCTAGCTAATTTTTCTATGCGTATCTCTTTAATGTCTATATTATATCTCTCATAATTATTCTGGATAAGGTGAGTTTAAACTGTTTCTGAATTGTGCTTGGTTTTAACTTCTGATTTCACTTTATTTCCAACTAATGGCTGATTATGCTACACCTTATACCTTGCTAACAATTAGAAGCAGATTCTTCACCAGCCAGTTAACTTCAATGACCATTTTGAATAGGAGATTTTACTGTTGTCTGAACTGTAATCATGGAAATATAATTATCTTAGAGTCATATCATAGAAGTACTTAGCATTCAAGTACCCCTCATTAGCTGGGCTTCAATCTCTGATCCTTTCATGGGCCAAGTCTTAAAGAATAGTTCATAATTCTGCAAGTTTGTGGATATATAATGTCAAGGCTAGCTGACAAGCAAGGTCTTTATTACAGTACGCTCTTGTTAATTAATAACATTACTTAGTAGAGAAGTTATAGGTTCTTAGCAAAACTGAGTAAAAAGTTAAAAGAGTTTCCATCTGCCTCTGGTCTCACACGAGGACAACCTCTCTCACTATCAACATCCTGACTCAGAGTGTTACAGTTGTTACAATCAATGAACCTACATTAGCAATTTATTATCAAACAAAGTCCACAGTTTACATTGAGGCTCACTCTGGGTGTTGTACCTTCTGTGGATTTTGACAAAGGTATAATAACATGTATTTACAATTATGGTGTTTTACAGAATGGTTTTCCTGTCCTAAAATTTTTTTGTGCTCTTCCTATTCATATTTCCCTCCCGACAACCACTAATCTTTTTACTATCTCTATAGTTTTTCCTTTTCCAGAATGTCATATAATTGGAATCATACAGTATGTAGCCTCTTTAGATTGGGTTCTTTCACTTGGTAACATGCATTTAGAGTACCTTCATGCCTTTTCATAAATCAATAGCTAATTTATTTTTAGTGCTCAGTAATACTCCATTGTCTGGCTGCATCACAGCTTATGTATTCAATACCTACTTAAGGACATCTTGGTTGCTTCCAAATGCTGGCAATTATAAACAAAGGTGGTCTAAACAATTTTATTCAGGTTTTATGTGGAAATAAGTCTTTAATAATTTTGGGTAAATATTAAGGAGTGTGATTATAAGAACTTATGGTAAAAGTATGTTAAATTTTCTAAGAAACTACCTAACTACCCACCAAAGTGGTTGTACCATTTTGCAATCCCAGCAGTAATGAATGAAAGATCCTGCTTTTCTACATCCTCACCAGCATTTGATGTTGTTAGTGTTTAGATGTCATCCATTTTAATAGGTGTGTAGTAGTAGCTCGTTGTTGTTTTAATTTGCAGTTCCCTACGAAAATATGATGCTGAGCATATAATATTTTCATGTGCTTACTTGCCATCTACATATATACTTTGATAAAGTATCTGTTCAAGTCTTTTGCTCATTTTTAAAAACTGAATTGCTCCATATATTACTATTGAGTTTTATAAGTGTTTGAAATGCTTTTTTCTCAGTGCCGTAAAGAAATAGCACTTGAAGATAAATTTAATTTCCTCAGCAAGGCCATTTTAACTTTCTGCAGAAAGCATACACTTGCCAGCAGTTTTGCCATGAGAGTACACCGAACAAAGGAGACAGGGTCATTTATAACCTGACGCATCCACCCTATTGCTGTGTCCGGTTTCCATTGGCTGGAATGGGACCTCACATTCTGTATTTGTGCTGATTGGCTAGCAACTTAGAAATTTTTAAAAGAAGCAAAGGCAGAGGAGAAAAAAGAAGGAGGAAGTAAACTTGTGGAATGTTGAGAAAGGTAAAAACACCTTCAAATAAGGAAGAGGAAAAGGCTATGACTTAATGCTTGCTTAGACCAGTATAAGCATGCCAGGGCAAATATTTAGGCTAAATTGTGGGAGCTAAGAATATAAAGTACATTGATTTCTTTATTACAGCTAGCAGATATTTAAGAATGTTAGAACAGCTCTTTGAATAAATTTTGCTTCTAAGAGAAGTTGCTATTTATTCCTAATTAGATGGGGAGGAAAGTCTTTGAAGAGGAACCTCTACTTTACTTTTTACATAAGTTTTTAAATATATATTTAGATAATAGTCATTTATAAAATGTGTCTTTTGGAAATACTTTTTTTCCAGTTTTGGCTTGCCTTCTCATTTTCTCAAAAGTGACTTTTTTAAGAGCAGAAGTTTGTAATTTCAATGAAGTCCAGCTTATCGATTATTTATTTCATAGATCATGCCTTTAGTCTTGTAAAAATTATCACCATACTCAAAATAATCCGGTTTCTCTTTTCTGTTATCTTCTACAAGTTTTATAGTTTTGTGTTTTATTCTGATGTCCATGATTTGTTTTCAGTTAATTTTCTTGAAAGATATTAAGTTCTGTGTCAACATTCTTTTATTTTAATAGATATGTCCATATATTTCAACACATTTGTTGAAAATACTATGTTTGCTCAATTTTATTGCCTTTGCTTCTTTGGTCAAAGATTAATGAACTACATTATGTGGGTTTATTTCTGGTCTCTGTATTTAGTTACACTGATCCATTTGTTCTTTCACAAATAGAAAACTGTCATTATTACTTTAGCTTTACAGTAAGTCTTGAAGTCAGGTACTATCAGTACTCCATATTTGCTCTTCTTTAATATTGAATCGGCAATCATGAGTTCTTTACCTCTTCATATAAGCATTAGAATCAATTTTTCACTATTCACACTACTTGCTGGGATTTTGATTGGGATTGGTTGTATATATAGATAGATCAAGTTAAAAAGCTCTAGCATATTAAAAACATTGAGGCTTTCTATCTATAAACATGGAATATATCTCCATTTATTTAATTATTGATTTCTTTATTAGTTTTATAGTTTTAAAAAATATAGCTCTTGCACATGTGTTGTTAAATTTATACCTATGTATTTTATTTCTGTGGGTGCTAATGTAAGTGGTAATGTGTTTTTAATTTAAAATTCTACTGTGTCTTTTTTTGCTAATATATAAAAAGTCAATTGACTTCAGTAAATTAAACTTATATTCTGCAACCTTGCTACAATTGTTTATTAGTTCTAGGAGGTTTTTGTTGATTCTTTTGGATTTTCTACATAGATATTAATGTCTTCTGTGAACAAAGACAGTTTCGTTACTTCCTTTTCAGTCTGCATAACTTTTATTTCCTTTTATTGTCTTATGAAGTTACAAAGAAATTCCAGGATGATGTTTAAAAGCAGTGGTAAGATGGTATGTCCTTGCCTTGTTCCTGATCTTAGTAGATAAGCATCAGGTTTTTCACTATTAAGGTGGTGTTACCTATACTATTTTTTGTAAATGTTACTAATCAAGTTGAAAAAGTCCCCCTCTGTTACTAGTTTTTTTAGAGTTCTAATTATAAAATGATATTAAGTTTTGTCAGATGCTTTTTCTGCATCACTTTATATGATCAAGTGGTTTTTCATCTTTAGTCTGCTGACATTAGGGAGTTTTAAGTATTCTTGAAATATTGACTACCTTATCCTTATTTAACGCCCCCCTTTAATAACTTTCTTGATTCTAAAGTCTTCTCTGAGATTAATACAGTTGCTTCTGCTATCTTTTCATTAGTGTTATTATGGTATATCTCTATCCATCCTTTTACTTTTAATCTATATGTGTTTTTATATTTACAGTGGGTTCTTTTTTCTGGTCAAATTATAGTTGAGTTTTGTTTTTAATACCCACTCTGACTGTTTCTGCCTTTAAATCAGTGTATCTAAACCATTGACATTCAAGGTAATTATTGATACAGTTGGATTAATATCTACTACAATTGTTACTATTTAGTCTAGTTGTTGCCCGTGTTCTTTGTTTCTATTTTTGTTTTTCATACTTTTTCTATCTTTTGTAATTTTAATTGAGAATTTTATGTGCTTTCTTTTTCTCTCTTTTTTTAGCATATCGATTATATTTATTTAAAAAATTTTTTCTAGTGGTTGTTCTAGAGTTTGCAATATACATGTACAACTAATCCAAGATTACTTTCAAATAACACTATACTATTTCATAGGTAGTGTGAGTACCTTATAATAACAATGTATTTCTAATTTCTCCCTCTTATTTCTTGTGTAATTTATGTTATCCATTTTATTTACATGTAAGCATTTCACATGAGTTGGTGTTATTATTTTGAAAAAATTATTATTTTTAGATCAATTAAAAATAAGAAAATAAAAGTTTTTATACTACCTTCACTTATTCTCTAAGGTTCTTTATGTAGATATGCATTTCTCACTTATATTGTGTTAGTTCATTTTTTGTGTTGCTATATAGAATTAACTGAGGCTGAATAATTTATTTAAAAAATAGTTTACATTGACTGATAATTTTTCAGGCTGTACTGAAATCATGGCACCAGCATCTGCCCCTAGCAAGGGCCTCAGGAAGATTTCAGTCATGGCAAAATGTGAAAGGGGAGCAAGTAAGTCACATGGTGAAAGAGAGAGCATGAGAGAGAAGAAGGAGGTCTAAGACCTTTCCAAATGACCAGATTTAATTTAAATTAACTGAGCGAGAACTCTATCACCAAGCAGATAGCACTAAGCAATTTATGAGAGAACCACAACTGTGATTCAATACCTGCCAACAGGCCATATCTACAACATTGGGGATCACATTTTAACATGAGATTTGGAGGGGACTCTCATCCCAATGATATAAAATATTATTCCTCTTCTCTCTGAATAACTTCTTTTAATCTTCCTTGCAAGGCATGGCTAGTGGCAGCAAAAATTCTCAATTTTTGTTAGATAGAGTCTTCATTTATCTTTCACTTTTGAAGGGTAATTTTATAGAATTTAGAATTCTAGGTTGTTGATACTTTCCTCTTAACTGTAAATATTTTACTCCACTCTCTTAATGCTTGTGTGATTTCTGAGGGGCTGTTGGTTTTAATTGTTATTTGTTTTTCCGTAGGTAAGATGTTTCCTACCCCCATCCCCGGCTTCTTTCAAGATTTCTTAAGTTTTCTGCAGTTTGAACATTATATGCCTAGGTATGATTCTTTTTTGTATTTATCCCACACGGTATTCTCTGCTTCCTGGATTTGTGCTTTTGTGTATGACATTAACGTGCAGAAATTCTCAGTCGATACTGCCTGAAATATGTCTTTTTTTATGTTCTCTTCTTTCTTCTCCTTCTGGCATTCCAATTAGGCATATGTTTCACCTTTTGTCATTGAACAACAGTTCTTGAATATTTTGAATTTTTTCCATCTTTTTTCTTTGAATTTTAATTTTGGAAGTGTCTATTGTCATATTCTCAAGCACAGAGATTGTTTCCTCAATTATTTCTGGTCTACTATTGAGCCTTTCAAAGGCATGCTTCATTTCTGTTACAGTGTTTTTTATCTCTAGCATTTCTCTTTGATTATTTCTTATAATTTCCATCTCTTGTACATTAGCTATATTTTTGTGTGTTATCTACTTTTCCATTAATGCCCATAACATATTAATCATAGTGATTTTTAAAAATCCCTACTCTGACAATTCCAACATCATTGCCATATATAACTTTGGTTCTTGTGCTTGCTTATTTTCTTCAAACTGTACTTTTTGTCTTCAAATATGCCTTGTATTTTTTAAATTAAAATATGGGCATGATGCACTTGATAAAGTAACTGAGGTAAATAGGCCTTTAATAATGTAGTGATAAATTATGGAAAGTGAAAATAGCATTGTACAGTAACATAATTAGATCTCAGTCTTTTGATGAGTTGTGGTCCTGGATTGTAACCTCCACTAGTGCTTCTTGTGTTTTTTCTCCCTTTTTAGGTGGAATAGAATGGCTAGGGGGGCTGGAGTTGTATATTTCCCTTTTCCTATGTGCAAAGCTAGAGTTGGCTAGAGTCAGATATTTACCTTTCCCCAGTTAGATTAGGCTCTGGTAAAATGCCAGCAGGTTAGATTCTGATAACATAGTTTCCTTGAAGGCAGACATTATTTAGAAGTACAGCATGCTCTAGTGTATTACAAAATGATTCATTTTCCCATCCTCCCTGCTGGAAGCACAAGGAGATTATTTTTTCCTGATATTTACTGTGAGGACCTGGTGTAGCTTCTGGAGGTAAAATTTACAAAAGTATAGGGGATCCCCACATCCCTGACCACCATGGAGTTTTCAACTTTTTAGATTTGTCCAAATTGAGACTCCACCAAGTCATCAATTACAATTTATGTTTTCCTCTCCAAGCATTGGTTCTGATAGAGGTTTCTGCTAGTGATCCACCCCTGCGCCCCCCAACCCTGTGGTTACATTGTAGTCTCTGTATTTTCATGAATGTCTCTCCAGTTTTGAAGGTATTAGCTTTTCTTGTGACCTTACTTATTTGATAGATCTAAGAAGAACTGTTGATATGTAAGTTTGTTTAGCATTTTACTTTGGTTTTAGGGCAGAGTGGTAATTTCTAAATTTCTTACATACCAAATCAGAGACATGTCTTTGAGAACTTTAAAGAATGGGAAGTTTATCCAAATGACCAAAAATGAATCAGAAATAGTCTGTTGAATAAAAACATTTCAGAAAGCAACAGACCAGGACATTATTTTTTTGGAACCTGAAACAAACTGACGAAAGTAAATGAGATCTTATTTACGTAGAAATTGCAATTTAAGGTGTTTAGAATATATTTATGCTAAAGACATTTACAGGACATAATTATAATTGTTAAAAACCCTCTTTATATCTGTAAAGCATATATTTACTCTTCTTGTTATATCTATCAGTTACCATATAAATACAGAAATCAGATTTTTTTTTGCTCAAGCAAAAAAAAAATAATTATAATGTGAATTAAACAACTTAGTATATTGACCATTTGGGGATTTAAAAATAATAAAAGGAACATGAATAAAGTTCTCTACACTAAACCATTTAGAATACCAGTAATAAAAGATTTAAAATAAATATTTATGCAATGGAATATAACCTTCAGCAATTATTCTATGCAAAAAAAAAAAAAAAAAAAAAACAGGGCAAAATTAGAGCTTTTTCCAAAAAGTAAAGACAAACAGGCAACAAGCCTGAAAAAAACTATAATATTTTGTGTGGTTGGCTTGAATAAGAAATTGCATTTATTCCCCAGGACAAAAAAAAAAAATCAATTACCAACCCTTAGCATTCCCTCCCTGAGTTATCATACCTCATCCAATAAGTAAAAAAGATAAACCTTAGTCAGCATAATAAACTACTAGAGTCTCTCCTACTTTCATTGAAATTGGGACAAAAAAATAACCAGCAGATAATTTTTTGTTTTAAAGTTGATGTATTGCTATATTCTTGTTTTAATTTTTTAATGGTAACAATTTAACTTTTTACTGGTAAAATCTAATTTGAAAAGATATTTTTAACTGAAAAGCAAGGAAGGTAAATATATTCTGAAAAAATACACTAAGGCAAGAAAAAGTACATTTATATTAATGAATAACCAACTTTTCTTCCCCCCAAAAAATGTATAATAAACACCAGTTCAGAATCTTGATTACCCCTGGTGTTAGATGGAGGGTAAGTATGAGGAATAGGAGAAGAAAGTGATTGCAATTGTGTAGGAGAATAGCAGCTTTCAACTGTTATTATGGAATTTTATTTTCTAAGCTAGTTACTGAGGTGTCATTTAATCAGTCTTTATAATTTTTAATGTCTTAAATATTTTAGAACAAATCTTTTACATTACATCTAAAGCAGTAGGGCCACAAATAACTTAAAAAGATTGTTTCCCTTTTCTCTTTCTACCTCTAAGGAAGGTTATGTCAAAACCACAATGCAAAAGCCAATGCATTTCTTATACGTATTGTTTGTAAAAATCACACACAGAATATACTTTGTCATTTCAGTGGCTATCAATTTATATGCTCAGCGTAGGTTATAAAAAATTAAATCAGGCTAGGCGCAGTGGCTCAGGCCTGTAATCCCAGCACTTTGGGAGGCTGAGGCAGGTGGATCACCTGAGATCAGGAGTTCGAGATCGGCCTAGTCAACATGGCTAAACCCCGTCTCTACTAAAAGTACAAAACTTAGCCGGGCATGGTGGCAGGTGCCTGTAATCCCAGCTACTCAGGAGGCTGAGGCAGGAGAATCACTTGAACTTGGGGGGTGGAGGTTGTAGTGAGCCAAGATTGCACCACTGCACTCCAGCCTAGGTGATAAGAGTGAGACTTCATCTCAATTAAAAAAAAAAAAAAAAAATTAAATCAATCCTCTTTAGCCTGAAAGTTATTGCTCTTTTTACTAATGGTTTCAGAGCCTTATATTTCTATGACATTTCCTCTTTTGAGATGAGAAAATTTTAAAATACAAAGATTTTCTGAGAGAACTGTATTAAAATATGAGAAAGTTTTAATTGAACAGATGTTAAAATTATGGAAGGAATTGCCATCTGCTAGTATGTTTCACGCTCTTGTGAACATGTGAGAAATGCCTGCCTAACCCATATCTCATTCTTTTAGAAGTAGTTTCTATACCTCCAGCTGAATAAATTGTTCTTACTAGCTTATGCCCATCCTGCCCTTACGCCCCATAATATAGTCAGGCCATCAGGATTCTTTTTCTACAACTTAAACTAATCAATTTAGAGATTGACAATCAGAAAATCTTTAAAACAACAAAAATGCAAATACTTAAACCATATCCATTGATAGGCAGAAGGGAGATTTACATAGGGAAACAGGAGAAATGAGCAGATGTCAATAATAAACTGAGATAAAAGATCAAGTGGTCCAAAAAAGGGACAATAGCTAGGTTCCTTACGTATAAATATTCAGATAATACAAAGGCCTATTTTAAAGACATTGGCTAATGTTTTAAGTGATATTGGAAGCAAATGAATGAGTTTTAGCAAGGATTTATATATGTAGACTTAGATTTAAAAAAATCACTTCAGCTTATAATGCAAGATGGCTGACTAGACATATTGGATGACAGACCTCCCCAGAAAGAAGGTCAAAGTTATTGGTAAATGAACATTTTTCTAATGGAAAACTAAAGGAAGACAGCCAGGACCTGTTACAGTGCCCATGCAAAGAAGTTAAGGTGCAGAAAAGAAAAGCAGCAAGAGTCTGGTAGAGATAAACCACTGAGGAACTTGGAACTCTGTGGAAAGTGTAGGTAAGAGTGCTCTGCTCCCATCACTCTGGCAACAATCTGCTATCCAACTGTTGGAAAGCCCCTATGCCCTTCCAACCCCGGGAAATGCTTTCAGTGGTGACTTAGAAACTGCCAGGGGACAAAGAATTGGTTAAACAGCTTATGTACATAAGCCTGCACTTCCTGCAGATCTGAACTGAGATGTCAGGTGCCATACTGGTTATGCATCTGTTGTGAGACACTATCCAGTCCAGAGAATTTCTTCCTTTAAGTCATCAAACTACTAGATCCCCTGAAAACATACTCCAAAACCTGCTCTGACTTTGGCAAGCACAGGGAACCAGTGGATGCCCAGGGAGCTGTGGAACCCCTGGTGATCTAACCTTTGGCATGAGATGCTCCTAAAGAAGTGAGGAGCACAGCCTGTCAAAGCCCCTATGAGACAAAAGAAATGTAGGTATGGTGCCAATCACTGAAGCCTGCAGCACTGACAGCTGAGGATTGTTGTGGAGAAGGGGTTATCTCCCACCCCCCACCCATCAACTGTTGTGGATGCAGCAGTGTTTCTCCCCAGTGGGGCCAGAGGTTGAGCACCTGGAAAAAGTGCTTATTGTGCTTTTCACAGTTCCTTGCATTTAAAAGTGAGCCCATGCTGCTTGGGCTTGCATAGAGTGTGGGGCCAAACTCCCCATCCCTGCACAGAGTGCCAGTGGACCAGTAATAGATGACTGACAAACCACCCAGTTATCTTCTCTGGAATGGGAAAGAGATTCTGCCTTGAGCACATTTTGATTATAGCTATAAATAATCTATCCACAACCCAGGAACCCATACAAAGTTTTGGCTCCCTGAAAGGACCCATAAATGAAGCCAAATGGTAATAAACAATGTAAATCACAGTCATAATCTCAAGGGAAAAAATAAAATGTCCTATTCAAGCAATATCAATTCAAAAATAAAAGTTGACACCTTTAGATGACATTCAGGCAAGAACTCTGGCAGTAAAAAAATCCAGAGTGTCTTAACAACTCCAGAGGGTTGTGCTATCTTTTTTTTTTTTTTTTTTTTTTGAGACAGAGTTTCACTTTTGTTGCCCAGGCTGGAGTGGAATGGTGCAATGGTGTGATCTCGGCTCACAACAATCTCTGCCTCCCAGGTTCAAGTGATTCTCCTGCCTCAGCCTCCCAAGTAGCTGGGATTACAGGCATGAGCCACCATGCCCAGCTTTGTATTTGTAGTAGAGACAGGGTTTCTACATGTTGGTCAGCCAGGTCTTGAACTGCTGACCTCAGGTGACCCACCCACCTCAGCCTCCCAAAGTGTTGGGATTACAGGCGTAAGCCACCACGCCCAGCTTGCACTAGTTTTTTAGCAATGAATGCTAAAAGAAATGAAAAGTCAGAAGTGACAAAGGATTGTATATATGGATTGCAGTGAAACTCAATGAGAGCGAAAAAAACTTCAAATCCAACACAAATAAACCAGAAAAAAATATTTAGAATATAAAAAAAAAGAGAGGTAGCTATATATTTTTAAAAAATGGTTAGAACTTCCAGAATTGGGTGAGTGACACAGAAGATGGGTGATTTCTGCATTTCCCACTGAGGTACCGGGTTCATCTCACTGGGGAGTGCTGGACAGTGGGTGCAGGACAGTGGGTGCAGTGCACTGTGTGTTAACCGAAGCAAGGCAAGGCATAGCCTCACCCGGGAAGCTCAAGGGGTCAGGGAATTCACTTTCCTAGTCAAAGAAAGGGTTGACAGATGGCACCTGGAAAATTGGGTCACTCCCACCCTAATACTGCGCTTTTCCAATGGCTTAACAAATGGCACACCAGGAGATTATATTCTGCACCTGGTTTGTAGTGTCCTATGCCCACGGAGCCTTGGTCATTGCTAGCACAGCAGTCTGAGATCAAACTGCAAGGTGGCAGCGAGGCTGGGGGAAGGGCACCCGCCATTGCCCAGGCATGAGTAGGTAAACAAAGTGGCTGGGAAGCTTGAACTGGGTGGAGCCCAACAAAGCTCAAGGAGGCCTGCCTGCCTCTGTAGGCTCCACCTCTGGGGCAGGGCACAGACAAACAAAAGACAGCAATAACCTCTGCAGACTTAAATGTCCGTGTCTGACAACTTTGAAGAGAGTAGTGGTTCTCCCAGCAGGCAGCTTGAGATCTGAGAACAGGCAGACTTCCTCCTCAGGTGGGCCCCTGACCCACGAGTAGCCTAACTGGGAGGCACCCCCCAGTAGGGGCATACTGACACCTCATACAGCCAGGTACTCCTCTAAGACAAATCTTCCAGAGAAACGATCAGGTGGCAGCATTTGCAGTTCACCAATATCCACTGTTCTGTAGCTACCGCTGCTGTTACCCAGGAAAACAGGGTCTGGAGTGGACCTCCAGCAAACTCCAACAGACCTGCAGCTGAGGGTCCTGACTGTTAGAAGGAAAACTAACAAACCAATGAACTCCAACAAATTTACAAGAAAAAAACAAACAACCCCATCAAAAAGTGGGCAAATGATATGAACAGACACTTCTCAAAAGAAGACATTTGTGCAGCCAAAAAACACATGAAAAAATGCTCATCATCATTGGCCATCAGAGAAATGCAAATCAAAACCACAATGAGATACCATCTCACACCAGTTAGAATGGCGATCATTAAAAAGTCAGGAAACAACAGGTGATGGAGAGGATGTGGAGAAATAGGAACACTTTTACACTGTTGGTGGGACTGTAAACTAGTTCAACCATTGTGGAAGTCAGTGTGGCAATTCCTCAGTGATCTAGAACTGAAAATACCATTTGACCCAGCCATCCCATTACTGGGTATATACCCAAAGAATTATAAATCATGCTGCTACAAAGACACATGCACACGTATGTTTACTGCGGCACTATTCACAATAGCAAAGACTTGGAACCAACACAAATGTCCAACAATGATAGACTGGATTAAGAAAATGTGGCACATAGACACCATGGAATACTATGCAGCCATAAAAAAGGACGAGTTCATGTCCTTTGTAGGGACATGGATGAAGCTGGAAACCATCATTCTCAGCAAACTATCACAAGGACAAAAAACCAAACACCGCATGTTCTCACTCATAGGTGGGAATTGAACAATGAGAACACATGGACACAGGAAAGGGAACATGACACACCGGGGACTGTTGTGGGGTGGGAGGAGGGGGGAGGGATAGCATTAGGAGATATACCTAATGTTAAATGATGAGTTAATGGGTGCAGCACACCAACATGGCATATATATACATATGTAACAAACCTGTACGTTGTGCACATGTAGCCTAAAACTTAAAGTATAATAATAATAAAATAAAAAAATAAACTTATACCAAAAAATAAAGAACTTCTAGAATTAAAAAAAAAATTACTGAAGAAACTTCAAAATACAGTTGGAAGCTTTTACAACAGACTAGACCAAGTAGAAGAGAGGATTTCAGAGCTTAAAGACTAAACTTTCAAATTAACATAGACAAAAATTAAAAAAAATAATTTCAATAAACAAAGTTTTCAGGAATATGGGATTATGCAAAACATTCATACCTATGACTTCTTGATATCTCTGAGAAAAAAAAAGAAAAATAAAGCAACTTGAACAACATATTTGAGAAAATAATCCAGGAAAAATGTCCAACTTTGCTAGAGAAGTCAACATCTGGATACAAGGTGTAGAAGAGAAAAGCAGCAAGATTCTGGAAGAGATAAACCACTGAGGAACTTAGAACTCTGTGGAAAGTGAAGGTAAGTGTGGTCTGCTCCCATCACTCTGGCAGCAATCTGCTGTCCAACTGTTGGAAAACCCCTATGCCCTTTCAATGCTGGGAAATGCTTTCAGTGGTGAGCACCTGTGGAAAACACCTATGAGATTCTACACAAGATGACCAACACCAAGGCATATAGTCATCAAACTATCCAAGATCAGTATGAAAGAATAAATCTTAAAGGCAACAAGAGAAAATGGATAAATCACCAATAAAGGAAATTTTATCAGACTAACAAGAGGTCTCAGCAGAAACCTTACCACCCAGAAAAGATTGTGGACCTATTTTTAGCCTTCTTATGAAAAGAAAAATGCCAGCCAGGAATTACATATCCTGTGAAACTGATCTTTATAAACGAAGGAGAAATGAAGTTCTTCCTGGATAAACAAACAAAAAGAGAATTTGTCATGATCAGACCAGGCTCCATTGAGTTATAAACAATGAAATAAAAGGATGGTACTTGCCAGCATAAATACACAAATTAGTACAACATTCACAGGTAATATAAATCAATTACACAATTGAGACTACAAAGTGTCTAGCTAAAAACACTATGACAGGAAAAAAAAAAACACCTCACATATCAGTGTTAACCTTGGACATGAATGGCCTAAATGCTCCACTCAAAAGACAACGTGAGATACAATTTAAAAAATAAGGCTTAACTTTCTTCTGTCTTCAGGTGATCCATCTCATGTGTAATGATAACCACAGGCCCAAAGTAGAGGGATGGATAAAGACCCCTAAGACAAGTAATTGGAAAACCAAAAAGAGCAAGGGTTTCTATCTGATATCAGATAAAACAGACTTTAAACCAAAAAAAGTAAAAAAAGGCAAAGAATGTCATTACATAATGATAAAAGAGTCAATACAACCAGAAAATTTAATTATTCTAAATATATATGGACTCAACATTTGAGAATTCACATTTATAAAAGAATTACTGTTAGACCTAAGAAAAGAGATAGACAGACATACAATAATAGTGTAAAAATTTAATTTTTACACTATTTTACACTAAAAATTAAATTTTTACTCATAAATTAAGAGAAGTAATCATTAAAGATATATAATACTAAAAGAAAAGAGTGAAATGAGAATGTATCTGTTTCATTACCGCAGCAACATGATATGGTTGCAGCTTTGGTTATAATAAAATTTTAGTTGGAAAGGTCAACATGTGCAACACTTTAGAACTTTACCTTGTGTATATTTTTAATATTTTATAGTGAAATGTTTTGATGTTTTTTTGTAAAACAGTTACCTATTTTGTAGCTAATGATTTTTAATAATCTAGGCAAGTATTTAATAATCATTCACTCTAGGTTATTCATACAAAATCATTGTGCTTGAAAATGACCAATTTGACAGAAGAACAATAATTTTTGGCCATTTGTATCATTAGAAAATTTTAGCGGTTAATATAAATTTAATATTTTTCACATAGTTATATAAAGAAGCATAATAATTTTTTAGTAACTCATATAATATGTCTAGTCATGTTGCTGGAATTCATGGAAGTATTAAATTGAACAATTTTGTTTTCTTCAGGAAATTTTCAGTCAATGCACAGTAAAAAATATCTAGGTGTAGTTTGATCTATTAATGATTACTTCTCCTAATTTAATTTTATGAGTTTGTATCAAATGTTAAGGAAGTTTGTGTGTGTGTGTGTGTGTGTGTGTAAACTTTATGTGTGTTTCAAATACTGCAACTCTTGTTCTAAGAATACATGCACATACAACAGAAATATCATTAATGCCATCTGAATTAACTTAGATATAAATTTTGTTGAATGCAGTGCTAAGAAAATAAGTAAAAGATGTATAATTTTAATTGGAAAAGATGCAGTAGCCAAATAAAACTGGTATTAAGATAGGAGGTGGAGCAAGATGGCAGCATAGAAGGCTCCGCTGATCATCCCCCCAAAAGTACACAAATTTTACAAAAATCTACACAAGCAAAGCAGCTTCATAAGAACTAAAAATTAGGTGAGCACTCACAGTACCTGCTTTTAACTTTGTATCACTAAAAGAGGCACTGAAGAGGTAGAAAAAAAATCTTGAATCACCAATGCCACACTTCCCTCATTCTCCAGTAGCAGCAGTGTGGTGCAGAGAGAGCATTTCTGTGTGCTGGAGGAGGAAGAGCCAGCAATTGTGAGGCACTAAACTCAGTGTCATCCTGTTAGAGCAGAAAGGAAAACTGGACCACATTCAGCTGAAGCCCACACACACAGAAAGCATTTAAGCCAGCCTTAGACAAAGGGAAATTGCCAATTCCAGCAGCCTGAACTTAAGTTCCCACAAACCTTGCCACTGTGAGTTCAAGTGCTCTGGGTCTCTAAGCAAACTTTAAGAGCTGTCTAGGCCACAAGACTGCAACTCTTAGGTGCATCCTAGTGCTGAACTGAGCCAAGAGACAGAGGACTAGGGGAGCACAAAATCTATTGAGTCAGCAACTGGGCAGCTGAGAAAGTGCTGGCATAACCCTTTCCCTAACCCAAGGCTGAACAACTCACAGCTCCAAGAGAGGCATTCCTTCTGCTTGAGTAAAGGAGAGGGAAGACTGGGCAAGACTTTATCTTGCATATCAGATACCAGCTCATCCACAACAGGATAAGGCACTGGTCAGAGTCATGAGCCCCTGTTCCAGGCCCTAGCTCATAGCTGACATTTCTAGACACACCCTGTGCTAGAGGGGAACCTGCTGTCTTGAAGGGGAGTACCTAGTCTTGGCAGCAATCATCACCTGCTAAATGAAGAGCCTTTGGGCCCTGAGAAACCAGTAGTAATATCAAATGTATACTATGAGGGGCTTGTATGAGCATTTAAGACTTGCTAGCTTTAGGTATCAGCTAAACTACAGGAACGTAGAACACCAAGCAGAATCTTTGGGTTCAAATTTGCAAGACTTGAACCTTGACTGGCATTTCTGGACCTGCCCTGGGCCAGAGGAGAGCCTACTGTCCTGAAGGGTAACTCCTAGACTAGGCAGCATTACTGTAGTGTGACTTAAATTCCTTGGGCCTTAAGGAAACATTGGAAGTACTCTGACAGTATCTCTCATGGAATTTTGGTGGCAGTAGTGATGGGTGAAGCTCTTTTGCCTTTGGAAAATGGAGGGAAGAGTGAGAAGAACAGCATCTTGTAGTTTGAAAGCAAGCTCAGACACAGCAGAATAGAATATCAGATAGACTTCTAAGGCTTTTAAGTTTATTCTCTGACTCCCAGGTGGCACGTCTGGACCCACCTGGGGACTGGGAAAACCTGCTGTTTTGAAGAAAAAAAAACCTACCTGGCTGGCTTTGCCACCTGCTGATTGTATAGCCTCATGCTCTTGAGTGAACATAGGCAGTGGCCAGGGAGGGGTTACAACAGGCCTTGGTCTGTGCCCAATGTAGTGCTGGGTTCAAGTCTGACCCAGCACAATAATAGTAGTAGTGACTAAGGAGTTGTTTGTCAACCCTACTAAAAAGTGGGCAAAGGACATGAACAGACACTTTGCAAAACAAGACATACATGCAGCCAACAAGCATATGGAAAAAAGCTCAAAAGTACTGATCATTGGAGAAATGCAAATCCAAACCATAACGAGATACCATTTCAAACCAGTCAGAATGGCTATTTTTAAAAAAGTCAAAACATAACAGATGCTAGTGAAGTTGTAGAGAAAAAGAAGCACTTTTATACTGTTAGTGGGAGTATAAATTAGTTCAACCACTGCAGAAGAAAGTGTGGTGATTCCACAAAGACCTATAACCAGAAATGCCACTGGACCCAGAAATCCCATTACTGGGTATATACACAAAGGAATATAAATGGTTCTATTATAAAGACACATGCATGTGTATGTTCATTGCAGCACTATTCACTATCGCAAAGATAGGAAATCAACCAAAATGTTCATCAATAATAGACTGGATAAAGGAAATGTGATACATATACACCATGGAAGTCTATGCAGCAATAAAAAATAATAAGATTATGTTCTTTCCAGGGACATAGATGGATCTGGTGGTCATTATTCTTAACAAACAAACACAGGAAAAGAAAACAAAATACTGCATGATCTCTCTTGTAAGTGGAGCTAAATGATGAAAACACACGGACACATGGATGGGAACAATACACACTGGGGCCTATGAGAGGGTGGAGGGTGGGAGGAGGAAGAGAATCAGAAAAAATAACTAACGGTTACTAGGATTAATATCTGGGTGATAAAATAATGAGTAAAACAGAACCCCATGCCAAAAGTTTACCTACTTAACAAACCTGCACGTGTGCTACTGAACTTAAAATAAAAGTTAAAAAAAGAAGAAACAAACAAACAAACAAAAATCCAAAATAAGGAGAAGTTTGCATCAATCCACCCCCAGCTTTAAGTGGCTCAGAACTGAGAGAGAGACTCCATTTGTTTGGGTGAAAGAAAGGGAAGAGAACACTTGGTAATCTAGAGAATTCTACTCTAGAGAATTCTCCCAAATCATGTCCAAAATGATCAAGGTGATACCTCTATGAGTGTGGAAGAACCACACTGTTACTTTACTAGGGTTGCCATTAAAACAGATATAGCATAAATCACAATACCCAGTTTCTTTTGAATATTAAGAAATACTCTCTAAGAAGAATGGGTAGACACAAACACAGACCATGAAGACTTCAATAGATACATAACACATCAATGCCCAGACACGGATGAACATCCACAAACATAAGGATGTTTCAGCAAAACATAACCTCACCAAATGAACTAAATAAGCCACCAGGGAATAATCCTGCAGAAACAGAGTTATGTGACCTTTCTGACAGAATTCAAAATAGCTGTGTTGAAGAAACTCAAAAAAATTCAAGATACCACAGAAAAAGAAATCAGAAATCTATCAGATAAATTTGAAAGAGATGGAAATAATTTTTAAAAATCAAGCAGAAATCCTGAAGCTGGAAAATAAAGTATACATACTGAAAGAATTCATCAGAGCCTTTTAATGGCACAATTGATCAAGCAGAAGAAAAAAAATAGTGAGAGTGAAGATAGGATATTTGCAAATACACGGGGGAGAGAAGAAAAGTAAGAAGCAATGAAGCACATCTACAGGATTCAGAAAATAGCCTCAAAATGACAAATCTCAGAGTTGGTGTCCTTAAAGAGGAGGTAGAGAGATAGGAGTGGAAAGTGTATTCAAAGGCATAATAACAAAAACTTCCCCAATCAACAGAAAGATACTTATATCCAAGTATAAGAAGATTATAGAACAGCAAGCAGATTTAACCCAAAGAAGACTACCTCAAGGTCTTTAGTAATTAAACTTCTAGAGATCAAAGATAAAGAAATAGTTCTAAAAAAAAAAGGCAATAGAGCAAAAAAACTGAAATAAAATGGAGCTCCAATACGCCTGGCAGGAGAATTTTTATTAGAAATGTTAGAACGTTGTCACGTATTTAAAATGCTGAAGGAAAACAAAAAAAGCTTTTACTTTAGCATAGTATATCCAGTGAAAATATTATTTAAAAATGAAGAATAAATAAAGACTTTCCAAGACAAATGTCAACTGAAAAATTTTATCAACACCAGACCTGACCTAAAAGAAGTGCTAAATGGAATACTTCAATCAGAAAGAAATGGATGTTAATGAGCAGTAAGTAATCACTTGAAGGTAGAAAACTCACTGGTATTAGAAAGTACACAAAAAAACACAGAATATTATAACACTGTAACTGTGGTGTGCAAACTACTCTTATCCTAAATGAAAAGAGTAAATGATAAACCAACAAAAAATAATAACTAAAACAACCTTTTTTTTTCAAAAAGTGGTATAGTATTGGACCATCATTTAAGTCTTTCAAAAGGATACTGATTACATAAGTCATAATATACAATTGGCTATCCATTTCCATGGGTTCCACATCCACTGATTCAACCAACCACAAAT
Organism: Homo sapiens; assembly: GCF_000001405.40. NCBI lineage: Eukaryota > Metazoa > Chordata > Mammalia > Primates > Hominidae > Homo > Homo sapiens. The sequence goes on from NC_000024.10 coordinate 6,184,603, forward strand.
GGAAAATATTTTAAAAATAAGAATACAATAATAAAAATAATGCAAATTTTAAAACAATACAGTACAGCAATTATTTATATAGCACTTACATTGTTCTCATTTTTTTTTTATTCTGAAAACATTTGTTGGGAGTGCCCTTGTGCCACATAGATTTTATTTTTCCAAAGATGGTTGCAGTTGTATCTTCCATTCCACATACTGTTCTAAAATGCATTCTTTTTTTTTTTAATTATACTTTAAGTTTTAGGGTACATATGCACAACGTGCAGGTTTGTTACATATGTATACATGTGCCATGTTGGTGTGCTGCACCCATTAACTCCTCATTTAACATTAGGTATATTTCCTAATGCTATCCCTTCCCCCTCCCCCCACCCCAAAACAGACCCTGGTGTGTGATGTTCCCCTTCCTGTGTCCATGTGTTCTCACTGTTCAGTTCCCACCTATGAGTGAGAACATGCGGTGTTTGGTTTTTTGTCTTTGTGATAGTTTGCTGAGAATGATGGTTTCCAGCTTCATCCACGTCCCTACAAAGGACATGAACTCATCCCTTTTTATGGCTGCATAGTATTCCATGGTGTATATGTGTCACATTTTCTTAATCCAGTCCATCATTGTTGGACATTTGGGTTGGTTCCAAGTCTTTGCTATTGTGAATAGTGCCGCAATAAACATACATGTGCATGTGTCTTTATAGCAGCATGATTTACAATCCTTTGGGTATATACCCAGTAATGGGATTGCTGGGTCAAATGGTATTTCTAGTTCTAGATCCCTGAGGAATCGCCACACTGACTTCCACAATGGTTGAACTAGTTTACAGTCCCACCTAAAACAACATTTTAAGACATACACGGTAGAATAAGATATAAATTAAAATAACAAAAAGTTAAAAAATAGGGGGACAAAGTTAAGGTGCAGAGAATTCTTAATTTTTTTGCACGTTTGTGTTGTATGCAAATAGTTAAGTTGTTATCAAGTTAAAATAATGCATTCTAAGGTAATATTTTCAAACCTCATGGTAACATAAAAAAACATACAAAAAATACACATAAAATAAAAATCAAGAAACTAAATCATATAGTCATAGAAAATGAACTTCACTAAAGAAATACAGAAAGAAATGAAAAAAGGACAAACCAACAAGAAAACAAGTAACAAAATAGCAGGAGTAAGTCCTTACTTCTCAGTAATAACTTTTAATGTAAATGGACTAAACTTTCCAATCAAAAGACATAGAGTGGCTTAATGTATGAAAAAACAAGACCTACTGATTTATCACCTGCAAGAGATACACTTCATCTATAAATACACATATATATTGAAAGAAAGAGATGGAAAAAGCTATTCTATGCCAATGGAAATAAAAATAGAGCAGGAGTCACTATACTTACATCAGTAAAAAATAGATTTAAAGATATAAACTGTGAGACAAGACAAAGACGTTTACATGATAAAGGGGTTAATTGAGCAAGAAGATAAATGAAATATATATATGCATCCAACCTTGGAACACTCAGATATATGAAGCAAATATTGTTAGAGCTAAAGAGAGAGATAGGCCCCAATACAATAATAGCTGGAGACATAAACCCCCCACTTTCAGCAATGAAACAATTTTCCAGAGAGAAAGAAGAAAAAAAAATAAGAAACATGGGACTTAATCTGCACTATGGACCAAATGAATCTAATAGATATGTACAGAACATTTCATCTGACAGCTGCAGAATTCACATTCTTTTCCTCAGCACATGGATTATTCCCAAGAATAAACCATATATAAGGTCACAAAACATCTTTAAAAATTCAAAAAAATTAGATAGTATCAAGCATCATCTCTGACCCCAATGGAATGAAACTACAAATCAATAACAGGAGCAATTTTGGAAACTATAAAAATACATGGAAATTAAATAGGATGCTCCTGGATGGCCAGTGGGTCAATGAAGATATTAAGTAGAAAATTGAAAAATATTTTGTGACAAATAATAATGGAAATACAACATATCAAAACCTACTGGGTAGAGCAAAAGCAGTACTCAGAGGGAAGTTTATAAGTACCTAAAAATGGGGAAAAACTTCAAATAAACAATCTAACAATGCATCTTAAAGAACTAGAAAGGCAACAGCAAACAAAACCCAAAATTACTAGAAGATAAGAAATAATAAGATCAGAATAAATAAATGAAATTGAAATAAAAAATAATACAAAAGATCAATGAAACAAAAAGTTGCCTTTTTGAAAAGTTAAACAAGATTGACAAAAATTTAGTCAGACTAAGAAAAGAGACAATCCAAATAAATAAAACCAAAAATGAATAAAAAGAGACATTACAACTGGCACTGCATAAATTCAAATGCAAATTTTATTTATCATATTTATTTATCATCAGTGGCTACTATGAGAATCTATATGGCAATAAATTGGAAAATACCTAGACACATACAGCCTACCAAGATTGAACCAGAAAGAAATCCAAAACCTGAACAGACCAGTATAAAGTAAAAAGATCAAAGCCATAATAACATGTCTCCCACTAAAGAAAATCCAGGGACCTGATGGCTTCCCTGGTGAATTCTACCAAACACTTAAAGAAGAACTAAAACCAATCTGACTCAATATTTTCTGAAAAATAGAAGAGGAGGAAATCCTTCCTAACTCACTCTACAATGCCAGTATTACCTTTATACAAAAAAACAGACAAAGACACATCAAAAAACAATACTACAAGCCAATATCTCTGATAAATTTTGATGCAAAAATGCGCAACAAAATACTAACAAACCACATTCAACGATACATTACAAAGATAATTCATCAAGACCAAGCAATGTTTATCTCTGGGATGCAAGGATGGTTCAAAATACACTCTTCAATCAATGTGATACATCATATCAACAGAATGAAAGATAAAAACCATATGAACATCTTAATTTATGATGAAAAAGCATTTGATAAAATTCATCATCTCTTTATAATAAAAACTGTCAAAAAACTGAGTAGATAATAAACATACCTCAGCATAATTAAAGCCATATATGACAGACACATAGCTAGTATCATACTGAATGGGGAATAAAACCAAAAAACTTTCCTCTAAGATCTGGAACATAATAAGAATGTCCACTTTCACCACTGTTATTCAACATAGTACTAGGAGTCCTAGCTAGAGCAGTCAGACAAGAGAAAGATCTAAAGAGCATCCAAATCAGAAAGAAATGTCAAATTATACTTGTTTGCAAATAACATGATCTTATGTTTGAAAAATCTTAAAGACTTCATAAGAAAACTATTAGAAGTGATAAAACAATTTCAGCAAAGATGCAGGATATGAAATCAATGTATAAAAATCATTAGCATTTGTATACGCCAATAGTGAAAAACCTGAAAAAGAAATAAAAAAGAAATTCAATTTACAATAGCCACAACTAAAATTACATATCTAGAATTTACCAAAGTGAAAGGTCTCTGTAATAAAAACTATAAAACACTGATGAAATAAATTGAAGAGGACACCAAAAATGGAAAAATATTTTATATTGATAGATTGGAAGAATCAATATTGTTAACATGTCCATACTACTCAAAGCAATCCTAAAGATTCAATGCAATCCCTAACAAAGTACCAATGGTATTTTTCACAGAAACAGAAAAAAAATCCTAAAATTTATATGAAACCACAAAAACCCAGAATAGCCAAGCTCTCCTGAGCAAAAAGAAAAAAATTGAAAAAAATCACATTACCTAACTTCATATTATACTTCAGATCTATATAACCAAAACAGCATGGTAGTGGCATAAAAACAGATACATAGACCAATGGTACAGAATGGAGAACCCAGAAGGAAATTCACACACTTACAGTAAACCCACTTTCAAGAAATTTGCCAAGAACATACACTGGGGAATAGTCAGTCTTTTCAATTAATGGTTCTGGGAAAAATGGATCTCCATATAGAGAAGAATGAAACTACATCCCTGTCTCTCTTCATATATAGAAATCAAATCAAAATGGATTAAAAACTAAAATCTGAGACTGCAAACTGTAAAACTACTACAAGAAAACATTGGGGAAAAATCTCCAAGACACTGGTCTCGGCAAGGTTTCTTGAGCAATACCCCACAAGCACAGGCAACTAACCAAAAATGAAAAAATGGGATCACATTAAGGTTAAAACTTTATGTACAACAAAGTAAACAATCAACATGTTAAAGAAACAACCAACAGAATGGGAGACAATATTTGAAACCTACCAATCTGTCAAAGGATTAATAAAGGTAATATATGAAAAGCTCAAACAACCCTATAGAAATAAATCTAATAATATGATTTTTAAAATGGGCAAAATATTTGAATACACATTTCTCAAAGAAGACATAGAAATGGCAAACAAGCATATTAAAAGTTGGTCAACATAATTGATCATCAGCGAAATGCAAATCAAAACTACAATGAGATATTATCTTTCCCCAGTTAAAATGGCTTATATCCAAAAGACAGGTAATAACAAATGCTGGAGAGGATGTGCATAAATGAGAATCCTCATACACCATTGAGTGGAATGTAAATTAATATGAGCACTATGGAGAATAGTTTGGAAGTTCCTCAAAAAAATAAAAATAGAGCTACCATATGATCCAGCAATCACATGGCTGTGTATATACCCAGAAGAAAGAAAACCAGTATCTCAAAGTGATATCTGTACTCCTGTTTGTTGCATCACTGTTCACAATAGCCAAGTTTTGAAAGCAACCTAAGTGTCCATTAACAGATGAATGTATAAAAAAATGTGGCACATATACACAATAGAGAACTATTTAGATCAAAAAAGAATGAGATCCACTCATTTGGAACAACATGGATGGAACTGGAGATCATTATGTTAAGTGAAATAAGCCAGGCGCAGAAAGAAAAACATCACATATTCTCACTTATTTGTGGGATCCTAAAATCAAAACAATTAAACTTATGAACATAGACAGTAGAAGGTTGGTTACCAGAGTCTAGGAAAGATAGTTGGGGGCTTGCGGGGAGGTGGGGTGGTTAATGGGTACAAAAAATAGAAAGAATGAATAAGACCTACTATTTGATAGCACACCAGGTTGACTATAGTCAATTATAATTTAATTTTACATTTTAAAATAAGTGAAAGTATATAATTGGATTGTTTGTAACACAAAAGATAAATGCTTGAGGAGATGGATAGCCAATTTTCTATGATGTGATTATTATGCATTGCATACCTGTATCAGAACATGACATGTGCCCCACAAATATGTACACCTACAATATACACACAAAAATTGAAAATATTTTTAAATAAAATGAAACAGTTATTAAAAGTAAAAAAGGAAATAGTTCCCATATCACACACTTTAAGTTTTACATACATATTCTTATAATGGTAGAGAATAAAATCAGAATCAATTTTAGAATTCCAGGAGTGGTGTGCATTTATGTCCCCAATCCTCCTCTCCCATTCCACCCCGACTTCTGCCAGTGAGGTTAAAAATAGATGGTAATGTTAATGTGGTTCAGTGGACAGAATATGAATTTGGAGTCTGAATGATCTTGATTTAAATATGTAATAAAGGAAATGTGTTACATATATACAATGGAATATATCTGGATCTGATCTGGATTTGAATATTAGTCCTCCCACCAACTGGCTGTATCTTGGACAAGATAAATTTTTTCAATCTTAGGTTTCTCACCTATAAGTAAAAATGATGAATTGAATAGGTGCTCAGTAATTATAAATTTCTATTCCAGATGTACCTATTATTGTGAGGTAGTTGTAGAAAAGAAATAATTTCTAAGGTATTATATTTTGCTTTGGACATAGTTTTAGTTTTTCATTTATTTTCTGGACATGTTTTATAAAAAGTAAACAGGGAAAACCTTAGATACCACGTGAAAATATGGGAGGATAGAGATTAGAGAATCAAATTGCTAAGCTAAAGATGTCTTATCTGCACACAGAAAGATCAATTTGTTCAGAAAAACAAAGGAATTTCCTAGCACATTATTAAATAAGTTCAAAATATTATTTAAAAGGAAAAAAAAAACAAAACACCAGACTTTAATAAACTAGTTTGAAAAAGAAAAGTTATTAATTGGCTTAAAAATAAATATAGTCTACATCTGACATTTTAAAGACCATGATGGGCCAGGTGTGGTGGTCCGTGCCTGTAATCTCAGCACTTTGGTTGGCTGAGGAGGGTGGATCACCTGAGGTCAGGAGCTCAACACCAGCCTGACAAACATGGTGAAACCCCGTCTCTACTATATAAAAAATTAGCCAGCATGGGGGCGCATGCCTGTAATCTCAGATACTTGGGAGGTTGAAGCAGGAGAATCACTTGAACCAGGGAGTCGGAAGTTGCAATAAGGCGAGATTGCGCAATTGCACTCCAGCCTGGGCAATAAGAGTGAAACTCTGTCTCAAAAAAAAAAAAAAAAAAAAAAAAATACCATGATGGATATTATTGGGAATGATTATATGTTTATATTTTTAAAACTTACTTCTTTTGATATGAAAGCCCATTGGTAGAAATGAGTTTTTCTTTTATTCAAAATAATCATAAGATCAATCTTGAAAACTTTGCTTAAGATGTATTTATGGGCCGGGCTCCGTGGCTCACACCTGTAATCTCAGCAGTTTGGGAGGCCAAGGCAGGTGAGTCACCTGAGGTCAGGAATTTGAGACCAGCCTGGCCAACATGGTGAAACCCTGTCTCTACTAAAAATGAGCTGGGCATGGTGGTAGGCACCTGTAATCCCAGCTACTCAGGAAGATGAGGCAGGAGAATCACTTGAACCTGGGAGGCAGAGGTTGCAGTAAGCCAAGATCGCACCACTGCACTCCAGCCTGAACAACAAGAGTGAAACTCCGTCTCAAAAAAAAAAAAGGATATTTTTATGGTGTACCTTAAATATAGTTTTATGTTACTTTCTTGGCGGAAAGTGTTTAGCTGAATACAGATGGTAATAACAGAATGGGTCGTTTATTTAGTTTGTAGTACACCCTGGATATGTTTCTGAAATATCAAAAAGCTTTCAGTTAATCTGTAAGTGTAAGATGATTATAGAAGAAAACAGCTGTTACCTATCTTTTTCTCCCACTCACAGGAGTATTACAGTCAATTTTGTTTTCTTTCTATGCCTGATTGAGATGATTACTCAAAAAGTAGGTGCTAATGATGCAAGTTTAAACCAGGTACTGCTTCTCTCCAAGTAACTTTTCTCCAAGTGTATGATTTTAGATTTTGAAAGCTGCACATGCTCTAAGTGTCACAGATGATTTGTCTGAAATAACACTTTACCCACTTAAACTCTGGAGTTTTAATCTTGGGTGAAGAACAGATTCATAATTTCACTTGAAAAAATAAGACTTTTTTTAAGAATAGAGACTATTTTGACTTTTAGACTGGTGGAAAACTTTTTCAGAGATCTAAATAAACACTAAGCTAGCCCCTGGGATAAAATCTTCGCTGTAGCCCCTGGGATAAACGTATGATGAAGAACAGTGATAATAATGGGATGAATAAAGAGGTAACTGTCTTGAACTTTTTCACCTGCATAATTGAGGCATCGCTTAGGATTGTCTAGACATGTGGAAATAATCTTCAGTGTTAGGTTTTACTTCAATGTTGTTGCATATGTGTTTGACAGAGAAAGTTTGCACTGTAGCTACTTTTGATTTTTCAAGAATAATTAAGCACCTTCACATTCTTCTCAGCCTTTGCATACCTATTGTCCGCTTTACTGATGATTAGTATCTTCACCAGAAAGCAGATAAGAATGGAGAAACATGATTAAATTTAAATGTATAAATTCCATGTGTAGTTTCTTGAATACTTTAGAAATCAATGCCTTGCAACCTTGGCTGCAGATTATAATCAACTGGGGAGCTTAAAAAATCTCTAATTCTCAGACTGCTCCCCGGTCCAATAAAATCAGATTTCTATTTGTGGGACCCAGACATCAGTAAATTTTAAAGTCTTCCAGGGAATCAACTGTGCAGCGAATTAAGAAACCCTGCTCTAAGTCTTTTGAAGATTTAAGAAAAGCTTAGGTCAGTTTCATTTCTAATGGCAAGTTCTTTTTTATTGCATTTTTACATGCTTTCTAACTTATACGTTTATGACTGTTTCTAGTTTGATAATTTTAATTGAAATTGTTTCCAATGTTATACATTGCTCAAATGTCATCTTTTCAGAAAGGCCATCTCTGACCATCCTAAAATAGTCACCAACATACATTATCCTCTATCATCTTGACTTATTTTATGTTTATTCATAGTACTCATTACTATATAACATTTGGTTAGGCATTAATCTCTTTATTGTTCATTCTCTGTCATCCCTGTCCTCTTCATTAGAATTTAAACTCCATAATGAAAAGCCTTCTGATTTGTTCAATACTACATCCTACATACCTGGAGCAGTGTCTGACACATAATAGATACTTAATAAGTATTTGTAGAATAAATAACAGTTAGTTTGCAGTTAATGTATTTCTTTCGTTGCTGGTAATTTGTGTTATCAATATAAAACCTCTAGTCTTACTTTGATTCAGAGAAGTGTAAGAAAATGTATTCTCAAACAGACCATTCATTCACTGAATATTGCATTAGTATTAGGTATAAATTAGTTCTTCTCTATTTTATATTACTAGTTGTGAAAAATATTCAGTTAGCAGCAAGTACATTCTTTCTATTTCAGCGGAGAAACAGAGATATATGTAATTTTTCATTGTCAGATCAAACAATTATCAAGTTGAAAAAAGTTTTTACATCTAAATTTCTGTAGTATTGGGTTAAATACGACTCTTGGAGAGATGAGAAAAAGAGTTTGAAGGTAACTTGGTGATGAAATACTATACATTTTAATATATCAAATACATACATTTAGTATATCAACATTTTTATTTGTGCTGTGAGTCAAAGGTGGGTTTCTTTCTTTTGTATTAAATATAAGTTAATTTATACTTTGAGAGTACATATGTTCTGAGATTTTTATATTTAACACATGTAACAAATGCCATAATATTATTTACCATCAGATGGCATAGTGAGCCAAACTGCCTTTTTCAAGATTGCTTCAACGAGATTTCTCATATTGCATGTGTATTAGTCCATTTTCATACTGCTGTGAAGAAATACTCAAGTCTGGGTAATTTATAAAGAAAAAGAGGTTTAATGAACACACAGTTTCACATGGCTGTGGAGGCCTCACAATCATGACGGAATGTGAAGGAGGAGCTAAGGCATATCTTACATGGTGGAAGGCAAGAGAACTTGTGCAGGGCAACTGCCCTGTATAAAACCATCAGATCTCACGAGACTTATTCATTATCATGAGAACAGCATGACAAAAACCCATCCCCATGATTCAATTACCTCCCACCGGGTCCCTCCACAACATGTGGAGATTATGGGAGCTGCAGTTCAAGATGAGATTTGGGTGGGGACACAGCCAAACCATATCATTCCATCTCTGGACCTTCCCAAATCTCATGTCCTCACATTTCAAAACCACTGATGCCTTCCCAATGGTCCCCCAAAGTCTTAACTCATTTCATCAACTCAAAAGTCCACAATTCAAGGTCTCATCTGAGACAAGGCAAGTCCCTTCCACCTATGAGCATATAAAATCAAAAGCAAGTTAATCACTTCTGGATACAATGGGGGTATAAGTATTGGGTAAATACATCCATTCCAAATGGGAGAAATTGGCCAAAAAGAAAGGGCTACCAGCCCTATGAAGGTCCAAAATCCAGTGGGGCAGTCAAATCTTAAAGCACCAAAATGATCTCCTTTGAATCCATGTCTCGCATGCAGGTTATGCTGATGCAAGAAGTAAGCTCCCATGGAAAAGAGCTCCCAGCTCTTCCTTTTTTGCTTTGCAGGGTACAGTTCCCCTCCTGGCTGCTTTCATTGGTGGGCATTGAGTGTCCGCAGCTTTTCCAGGTGCACAGTGCAAGCTGTTGGAGAATCTACCACTCTCAGGTTTGAAGGAAGGTGGCCCTCCTCTCACAGCTTCACTATGCAGTGTCCCAGTGGGGACTCTGTGTGGGGGCTCACACCCCACCTTTCTCTTTCACACTGCACTAGCAGAATTTATCCATGAGGGCTCTGTCCCTGTAGCACACCTCTGCCTAGCCATTCAGGTGTTTCCATACATCCTCTGAAATCTAGGTGGAGGTTCCCAAACCTCAATTCTTAACTTTTCTGCACCCACAGGCCCAATATCACGTTTTAGCTGCCAAGGCTTAGGGTTTGCTTCTTCTGAAGCAACAGCCTGAGCTTTATGTTGGCATCTTTTAGCCAAGGCTAGGATGCAGGGCACCAAGTCCTGAGACTGCACAAAACAGCAAGGCCCCGCGTCTGGCTCACAAAACAATTTTTTCCTCCTAAGCTTCTGGACCTGTGATGGGAGGGGCTGCTGTGGAGACCTCTGACATGCCCTGGAGACATTTTCCCTGTTATCCATGATTAACATTTGGCCCCTTATTACTTATGCAAATTTTTGTATCTGGCTTGAATTTCTCCTCAAAAAACTTTTTTTTTCTATCACATTGTCAGGCTTCAAATTTTCCAAACTTTTATGTTCTGCTTCCCATTTAAACGTAAGTTCCAATTCCAAACCATATCTTTGTGAATGAATAAAACTGAATGCTTTAAAGAGCACCCAGGCAATGTCTTGAACATGTTGCTGCTTAGAAATTTATTCCACCAGATACCCTAAATCATCTCTCTCAAGTTCAAAGTTCCACAGATCTCTAGGGTAGGGACAAAATGCTGCCAGTCTCTTTGCTAAAGCATAGCAAGAATCACCTTAGCTCCAGTTTCCAGTAAGTTCCTCATCTTCATCTGAAACCACCTTAGTCTGGACTTCATTTTGATATCAGTATCAGCATTTTGGTCAAAACTATTCAACAAGTCTCTAGGAAGCTCCAAACTTTCCCACGTCTTCCTGTCTTCTTCTGAGCCCTCCAAACTATTCCAACCTCTGCCTATTTCTCAGTTCAAAAGTCATTTTTACATTTTAGGCATCTTAGTAGCAGTGCCTCACTCCCAGTTCCAATTTACTATATTTGTCCATTTTCATACTGCTATGAAGAAATACCTGAGACGTGGTCATTTATAAAGAAAAAGAAGTTTAATAAACTAAGAGATCTATTGATAATTTAAGTTCTCATTGAAAAAACCCTCTATTGGAATCCCAAACTGAACTGGAAACTAGAATTTTGCAAACTAAAGTTAGTTTTTCAATATCCTCTTCTCTGACATCTAACTACTTATTGTAAACCTTTTTGTCTCTGATTATTCAGAGTGATCAGGTCAGGCCTTTGCTGTTTCAACTCAGCTACATAGAAACCGCCAATGACTCATAGCTTATTACAGTGTCTTTTTGATACCCTGCTTAACTTAAGACTATAGCAGCCACCAATAAACTTGTGAAGGCTTCTGCTGACATACTCTTGGGCACTTCCTTGTAACTAATGGTCTCCCATGGTGTACAATCTTTGGTACGCATTTAAAAAAAATTATTTTCAAGTTAGCTTATAAGATATTCATATTTTCTCTTTCATATGTTATTATTGAAGGAAATTATGTATTTTACCCCAAAATACACTACTTTGACATATTTTGAGATGGTGGTTAGGAGAGCCAGCAAATAGAAATAACCTTCCTTGATTTTAGAGGGAGATTTGCATCTGTAGAGAATCTGTACTAATGCAGCCAGATTTTTTTCTGAGGTTTCCCTTTATCTAGGAAAGATCAACTGAGTTTGAAACATTTAAATGTCTGAAGAAGCATTTGCCATCTATTCTGAGGGCTGCTACCTCTGTGCTTTCATCTACATAAGAATCATTTTGCTAGGCAAACCTCCTCTTCTTTTCATCTCATAATGTGTCTTACCACTATAACCGGATTTACTGTCTTAACCAGTATTTGGTCATAGTCTCAGACCCCATTCTTTCTGTAACTTCAAGATTGTACGTAAGCTGCTGAACCCCAACTGGAAAGTTGGAGTGTCAGGACCCAGAAACTGATACCCCAAAATATGGCACTATAACATGCTAAACTGATGATGAAGCCTGAAAGTCTTGCTGACCCCGACATACCCACTGGTCTCTCCCACAGCACAGGATGAAATTGTTTTCTGAAATTCCTTTATCTGTCTGAAGTCTGGACCTACCAAGGAAAATAATTGTTTTTCTTCTCCCCTGTGAGTTATCTTATTGTCTATTGCAGAAAAGAAGACCAATTATATAACCACACCAGAACAGACCCGTTTAAAAGATATATCTATAAGGATTATTCAATTTCCGAAGAGAACTATTCGTGTACCCTGATCTACTCATTCTCCCTAGTAATCATTTATTGCCCCTCAACACAATTCCTCTTCTCATCTTTTCCATAACCTGTTTTTCCAGGATCCAAGCCTCCATTCTTTTTTATTTTATTTTATTTTATTTTATTTTATTTTATTTTATTTATTTTGTTTTATTTTATTTGAGATGGAGTCTCCTGGGTCACCCAGGCCGGAGTACAGAGGCATGATGTTGGCTCACTGCAACCTCTGTCTCCCAGGTTTAAGTGATTCTCATGCTTCAGCCTCCCCCATAGCTGGCACTACCGGCGGGTGCCACCACACACAGCTAAATTTTTTTGGTATTTTTAATAGATACAAGTTTTCACCATGTTGGCTACGCTGGTCTGGAACTCCTGACCTCAAGTGATTAGCCCACCTTGGCCTCCCAAAGTTCTGGGATTACAGGTTTGAGCCATGGTGCCCAGGCCATGCCCATTCTTTTTTATTTCAATAGCTTTAGGATATATGTGGTTTTTGGTTATATGGATGAATTGTATAGTGGTGAAGTCTGAGATTTTTGTGCATCCATCAACTGAGTAGTGTACACTGCGCCCAATATGTAGGTTTTTTTTAATCTATCACCCCACTCCCACCCACTCTTTTATTGAGTTTCTAATGTCCATTATACCATTCTGCATGGTTTTGTGTACTCATAGCTTAGCTCCCACTGATAGGTCAGAACATACAGTATTTTGTTTTCCATTCTTGAGTTACTTCACTTAGAATAATGGCCTCCAATTTCATCCAAATTGCTGCAAAATACATTATTTTGCACTTTTTTATGCCAAGCCCCAATTCTTTCAGTAACTTCAAGACGGTATATAAGCTTCTGAATCCCATTAGGGGGCTGGGATATAATAACTACTGTTCTCCCCCATGTGCACATTCATAAATTTGTACGCCTTTTTTCCAGTTAATCTGCCACTTGTAAGTTGATTTTTTAGTGAAACTTCAGAGAGTAAAGAGGAAGTTTTCCCGTGACCCTGACTGTTTTGGCACTGTGCACAGTATACCAAAGCTCTGCTCTTCCTGAAATCGCAGTGAATGGAACCCAGAATCTAATAAGCCAGAAGAAGTGTAAGAATTTCTTACCAAGCACATGGTAGAAATCACTGTTATTCTCTTTATTTTCTGCAAAATTTTATATAATGGGAGAACACAATTAGTGTAAGTAGTCTTGGATGTAGCAACTCTGGTGCACTTTATGGTATGAATTTTCCTACCCTTGATCCCTTCTTTCCCAGAAATAGTGTTTTCCTTTGACTTTGTCTTTTCTGTGTTATTCTGTCATAAAGAGGATAGAGCATTTCTTTAATAATTAATGATGTTGAACATCTTTTCATATGTCTATTTGTCATTTGTATATCTTTTATGAAATGTCTATTCAAATGTTTGCCCTTTTGTTTGATCAGATTATTGGATTTTTACCTATAGAGTTGCTTGAGCTCCTTAAATGGGGGATTATGGTTATTAATTCCTGGTCAGATGGGTAGCTTGCAAATATTTTATCCCATTTCGTGAATGTCTCTTCACTTTGTTGATTGTATATTTTGCTCTGCAGAAGCTTTTTAACTTAATGTGATCACATCTGTCAATCTTTGCTTTGATTACCTGCACTTGCATATTACTCAACAAATTTTTGCCCAGACCAATGTCATGAAGATTTTTCCCAATATTTTCTTGTAGTAGTTTTATGATTTGAGGTCTTAAATTTAAGCCCTTAATCTATTTTGATTTGATTTTTATATATGGTAAGAGATAGGGGTCTAGTTTAATTCTTTTGAATACAGATAACTAGTTTTCCCTGTAACATTTATTGAAGAAACTGTTTTTCCCCAGCATGTGTTCTTGGCGTCTTTGTAAAAAATTAGTTGATTGTAGGTATGTGGATTTGTTTCTGGGTTCTCTATAGTTTTCCATTCATCGATGTGTCTGCTTTTATGCCAGTATCATGCTCTTTGGTTACTATAGCTCTGTAGCATAATTTGAAGTCAGGTAAGGTGATCTTCCAGTTTTGTTCATTTTGTTCAGGGTAGCTTTGGTTATTCCAGGCATTTGATGTTTCCATATAAATTGCATGATTTTTTTTTCTATTTCCATGAAGAATGTCATTGATATTTTAATAGGGATTGCATTAAATCTGCAGATTGCTTTGGATAGTATGGACATTTTACCAATAGTGATTTTCCCAATCCATGAACATAGAATATTTTTTAAATTTTTTGTTGTCTCCTTCAGTTTTACAATTTTCATTAAGAGATCATTCACTCTGGTTAATTCCTAGGTATTACATTTTACTTGTGACTATTGTTTTTCACTTATATTTTAAATTTTTCACTGCTGGCATATAGAAATGCTACTGGTTTTTGTATATTGATTTTGTATCCTGAAACTTCACTGAAATTGATCAGTTCTTATAATTTTCTAGTGGAATTTTTAGGTTTTTCCAAATGTAAAAGCATATCATCTGCAAACAGGGATAATTTGACTTCTTCCTTTTTAATTTGGGTGCACTTTATATCTTTCTCTTGTATGGTTGCTCCAGCTAGGACTCCCAGTACTATGTTGAATAACAGTGGTGACACAGGGCATCCATGTTGTCTTCCAGATGTTATATAAGAGGCTTTCAGTTTTTCTCCATTCAGTATGATACTATTTGTGGGTCTGTTGTAAATGGCCTTAATTATGTTGAGGCAAATTTCTTCTATACCCAGTTTTTTGAGGGTTTTTATTATGAGCAACGTTCAATTTTATCAACTTTGTTCAGAATCAATTGAAATGATCTTCAATCTCTCGGTTTGGTGTATCATATTGATTAATTTGTGTATGTTCAAACATCTTTGCATCCCACGATTAAATCCTACTTTAACCCTGGTCATGACAAATAATCTTCGTAATGTATTGTTGAATTTCATTTGCTAGTATTTTGGTGAGGATTTTTGGATCAATACTCATAAGAGATATTGGCCTATAGTTTTCTTCTTCTTTTTTTTTTGATGTGTCTTTTTCTGGTTTCAGTATCAGGGTAATTACTGACCTCATAGGATGTGTTTGGAATTATTCCCTCCTCTATTTTTTAGAACAGCTCGAGTTTGATTGATATTAGATCTTCTTTAAATGTTTGGATTAATTAAGCAATGAAACCGTCAGGTCCCGACCTTTTCTTTGCTGGGAGACTTTTTATTATGGCTTTGATCTCATTACTTGATATTGGTCTGTTCAGGTTTTGGATTTCTTCCTGGTTGAATCTTAGTAGCTTGCAGGTCCAGGAATTTGTCCATTTTTTTATATATATATTTTCTATTTTACTGGCATATATTTGCTTATAGTAGCCACTAATAATCCTTTAAATTACTGTAGTATCAGTTGTAATGTCTTCTTTTTAATTTCTGATTTTGTTTGGATCTTCTTTTTTTTCTTAGTAAGCCTGACTAAAGCTTTGTCAATTTTGTTTAACTTTTTGAATAAGCAACTTTTTGTTCAATGATCTTTTGTATTTTATTTCATTTCAATTTTATTTATGCTCTGATTTTTATTATTTATTTTCTTCTACTTAATTTGGGTTTGGTTTGCTCTTGCTTTTCTAGTTCCTTAAGATGCCTCATTAGATTTTGTATTTAAAGCTTTTTCTCTTTTTTGATGTAAGCACTTATTGCTGTAAACTCCCCTATGATCACTGCTTTTACTGTAGGCCATAGGTTTTGGTCTGCTGTGGTTTCATTATCATGTGTTTAAAAATTTTTTGATTTTCTTCTTTATTTATTGACCCACTTTTTGTTCAGGAGCATATTATTAATTTCATGTTGTATTAGTCTGTTCTCATGCTGCTAATAAAGACATACTCAAGACTGGGTAATTTACAAAGGAAAGAGGTTTAATTGACTCATGGTTCCACATGGCTCAGGAGGCCTCATAATCATGGTGGAAGGCAAAGAGGAGCAAAGCCACATCTTACATGGTGGCAGTCAAGACAGCATGTGCAGGAGACCTCCCCTTTATAAAACCATCAGATCTCATGAGACTTATTCACAATCATGAGAATAGCATGGGAAAACCCTGCTTCCACGATTCAATTACCTCTCACCAGGAGTCTCCCATGACACATGAAGATTATGTGAGCTACAATTCAAGATGAGATGTGGGTGGGGACACAAACAAACCATATCAGATGTATTTGTGTAAGTTCCCAAATTTCTTTTCTTAGGGATTTCTAGTTTTATTTCATTCTGTTTAGATAAATTGTTGGATATTATTTCAATAGTTTGACTGTTCTAAGACTTGTTTTGTGACTTAACATATGGTTTATCCTGGAGAATAATCCATACGCTGAGGAAAAGAATGTGTGTTCTGCAGCCATTGGATGAAGTGTTCTATGCATATTCTTTAGATTCACTTGATTTATAGCACAAATTAAGTCCAATGATTATTTGTTGATTTTCTGTCTGAAGAATCTGTCTAATGTTGAATGTGAGGTGTTGGTGTCTCTAGCTATTATTGTATTGGGGCCTATCTCCCTCTGTAGCCCTAAAAATACATTATATATATATATTTAAAATTGAAATATTTTCTTGCTGAATTGACTACTTTATCATTATATAGTGACCTTCTGTGCCTCTTTCTATAATTTTTCATCTTGAAATCTATTTTGATTAATATAAGTATAGTGAATCTTGGTCTTTTTTGGTTTCCATTTACATGGAATATCTTTTCTCTGTGTCTTTATTTTTAGTCCATGTGTATCTTTATAGGTGAAGTGTGTTTTTGTAGGCAACAGATAAATAGGTATTTTTTTAAAAAATCTGTTCAGCTACTAATATTGTTTGGGTTTCTGTCCCTGCTGAAATCTCATGTCGAGTTGTAACCCCAGTGTTGGAGGAGGGGCCTTGTAAGAGGTGATTGAATCATGGGGGTGGACTTTCCCCTTGGTGTTCCTATGATAGTGATTTCTCATGAAATCTGATTGTTTAAAAGTGTGTATCACCTGCCCCTTCTCTCTTTTCCTCCTGCTCTGGCCACATGACGACAGGCCTCCTTTCTCTTCACCTTCCACCATGATTGTAAGTTTCCTGAGGCCTCTCAGTCATGCTTTCTGTACAGCCTGCAGAACAGTGAGCCAGTCAAACCTTTATTCTTTATAAATTACCCAGTCTTGGGTAATAATTTATAGTAGTGCAAGTATGGACTAATATAAACAATTGGTACCAGGAGTATGGTATTGATATAAAGATACCTGAAACTGTGGGATCAGCTTTGCAACTGGTTAATGGGCAGAGGTTGGAACAGTTTGTAGGGTTCAGAAGAAGACAAAAATATGAGGCAAAGTTTGAAACTTCCTAGAAACTTGTTAAATTTTTGTGACCAAAATGCTGACAGTGATATGGACAATGAAGTGCAGGCTAAGGTGGTTGTCTCAGATTGAGATGAGGAACTTATTGGGAACTAGAGTAAACGTCACTCTTAGACTTTAGCAAAGAGACTCAGGCATGGAGGCCTAGGAGGGAAGAATGGTTTTGTGGGCCAGGCCCAGAACCCCACTGCTTTCTGCAGCCTTGGGACATGGTGCCCTGAACCACAGCTGCTCCAGCTCCAGCTGTGGCTGACAGGGGCCAAGATACAGTTTGGACTATTGCTTCAGAGGGTGCAAGCCCCAAGATTTGGCAGCTTCCAGGTGGTACTAATTCTGCAGGTGCACAGAGGGCAAGAGTTGAGGCTTGGGAGCCTCTGTCTAGATTTCAGAAACTTTTGAGTTAATGTTGAAATGAGGTAAGACTGGGGAACTGTTGAGAATAGACAATTATATTTTTTAATAAGAGAAAGACATCAGATTTTGGAGGTGCCAAAATTACGAATTACAGTCATAAATTATAAATTTCCGAGTCTCAGGTACTTCTTTATATCATTGCAAGAACAAAATAATACAGCTACTATATGTCTTCTGAGAGGGGAGTTCAGTCCATTTACATTCAATGTTATTATTGGAAAGACTTACTCCTGCTATTTTGCTATTTGTTTTCTAGTTTTATTGTACTCTTCTCTTCCTTTTCAAAATTTATTTCTGAACTTCTTTATTGAAGGTGATTTTCTATGGTGATATAATTTAGTTTCTTGCCTTTTATTTTTTGTGTATCTGTTGTATGTTTTTTGTTTTGAGATTACCACAGGGCTTGCAAATACTCTCTTATAACCCATCATTTTAACCTGATAATAACTTTTAATTTTTTGCATAAACAAACAAACAAAAATGAAAAGGGAATTGAATAAAAGTTCTATGCCTTAATTTTGTTCCCTTGCTTTTTAACATTTTGTTGTTTCTCTTTATATCTTAACGTACCAACTACATCTTTAAAAGTTTTTGTAGTTACTGTTTTTGATTGGTTCCTCATTTAGTCTTTCTACTTAGGGTAAGAGTAGTTTATAAACCACAGTTACAGTGTTGTACTATTCTGCATTTCCTGTGTACTTGCTATTACCAGTGAGTTTTATACTTTTAGATGATTGCTTATTGCTCATTTCATCCTTTGTTTTCTGATTGAAGTCCTCCCTTTAGCATCCCTTGTAGGACAGGTCTGGTGTTGAAGAAATTCCTCATCATCTTTTGTCTTGGAAAGTCTGTTTCTCTTTCACATGTGAAAGATATTTTTTGCCAGATATACTATTCTAGGGTAATAGGGTTCTTTTTCTTCAGCACTTTATACATGTCATGCCACTCTTGTCTGGCCTGTAAAGTTTCTGCCGATAAGTCTGCCACCAGATGGAGCTTGATTATTAAATGCCTTCAGGTAAATCTGCTTGGTCTTCTATAATCTTCTGTTCATGGATATTGATATCTTTCTCTAGGTTTGAGAAGTTCCCCGTTATCCCTTTGAGCAAACTTTCTTCCCCATCTCTTTCTCTAACTCCTTTTGAAGACCAATAACTCTTAGATTTGACCTTTTGAGGCTATTTTCTAGTTCCTGTTGGCATGCTTTATTGTTTTTTTCTCTAATGATTGCATATTTTTAAATAGCCTCTCTTAAAATTCATTATTTATTTCTCCTGTTGATTAATTTTACCATTAAAGAACTCTGATGCATTGTTCAGTATGCCAATTGCACTTTTCAACTACAGAATTTCTGCTTGATTTTTTAAAAAATTATTTCAATCTCTTTGTTCAGTTTATCCAACAAAATTATGAAATCTTTCTTTGTCTAATCTTGTATGTATTTTAGTTTCTTCAAAACAGCTATTTTGAATTCTCTGTCTGAAAGTTTACATGTCTGTATCTCTCCAGGATTAGTTCGTGGTGCCTTATTTGGTTCATTTAGTAAGGTCATCTTTTCCTGAATGGCATTGATGCTAGTAGATGTTCTTCAGTGTCTGAGTATTGGGTAGTTAGGTGTTTATTATTATCTTCCCTTTCTGTGTTTATTTGTACTCGTTCTTCTTGGGAAGGCCTTCCAGGTTTTTGAAAGAATTTCGGTGGTATGATCTAAGCTGTATCTGCATTAGGGAGCACCCTAAGTCCAGTAATGCTGTGGTTTTTACAGGCTCATAGACTTAACACTTTGATGGTCTTGGCAAAGATCCAGGATAATGCTCTGGATTACCAGACAGAGACTCTTATTCTCTTTCCAGACTTTCTCCTGAACCATAGAGTCTCTCTCTATGTTCTGAGCTACCTAAATCTGGGATGACAGAAGCTCCTTTGTGTCCATCACCACTATGAATGCACTGGGTCAGAAACAAAGCCCCACATAGCACTGGGTCTTGCCCAAGGCTTTCTATAACCACTCCTTGGTTACTGCCTATGTTTATTCAAGGTTCTGAGGCTTTACATTTAGCTGGTGGCAAAAGCCACCCAGGCCTGTGTTTTTTTCTTCAGGGCAGTGAGTTTCCCTAGGCTCTGGGTGGGTTCAAATGTGCTTCTGTAAGTCAGGAACTAGAGTCAGAAACATTAGCTGTTTACCTGGTATTTTACTGTACTATGTGTGAGCTGGTACTCAAACCACAGGATGCAGTTCTTTCCACTCTTCCCTCCCCTATCCAAAGGCAGAGGCGCTACACCCCATAGTTGCCACCACCCCAGGCTACAAGGAGTACTGCTAGACTTACACTGATGTTCCTTAAAAGCCCAAGGGCTCTAAAGTCAGCTTGGAATGAATGCTGCCTGGCCTGGGACTCACCTTTCAGGGCAGTGGTCTCCCCTCTGGCCTTACATGCAAGTCCAGAAATGCCAGCCAAGAGTCAAGTCCTGGAGTCAGGGACTTCAAGAGCTTGCTTGGTGCTCTATCCTCCTGTGGTGGTGTTGGTATCTAAGGTGCAAGACAAACTCCTCTTTACTTTTCCCCTTGCTTTTCTCAAGCTGAAGGAGTTTTGCCTTATAGCCACTACAGCTAGTAATGTGCTGAGTCTCACCTGAAGCCAACAGGTCTCAGAGGCACACCCAATGCCCTCGATGTAGTACCTGGGTATAGCTGTTGGTTGTTTAGAACCCAAGGTCTCCTCAGTTATGCATGCTGCCTGAAGTGGATAATTTTTTTCAAATGCAGTGTGTTCTCCTCTGGCCCAGGGTTTTATAGAAACATCATCTAGGATCTAGCGTTTGGAACAGGGGCCTCACAATACTCACTGGTGCCCTATCCTGTTGTGGCTGATCTGGTATCCAAGATGCAAAACAAAGTTATTCTTACTCTTCCCTCTTGTATCCTCAAGCAGAAGGAAAGGGCCTCTTTCAGAGCTGTGAGCTGTGTAGCCTGGGGTTACGGGAGGAGTGATGCCAGCACTCCCTTAATCATTCCAGCTTTTTATTCAGTAGGTCATATGTCCCCCTAGACCACTATGTTTGCGTCCAGTTCAGCACTAGGACTCATCTAAGAGGTCTAAGAGTTGCAGTCCTTGTGGTCTCTGCTGCCTTTCAAGTTTACTTGGAGGCAAAGGACACTGTAGCCCTTGGTGGTAAGGTTTGTGGGAACTTGAACTGGGGCCACTGGGATCAGTAATCCTTTCTGAATAGGGCCAGTTTAAATGCTGCCTTCATGGACACCTGTCCACTGAGTTTAGTCTGGTTTTCCTTTCTGCTGTAACAGGAAAGCACCGAGTTTAATGCTTCAAAATTTCTGTGTTCTCTCTCCACCAGTGTCCAGAGAGCCTCTCCACTCCACACCACTCCTTCCAGGGGTGGGGAAGGTGTGGTGTCACTGATTCAAGACTGTTTTTTCTATGTCTCCAGACCCTCCTTCAACAATATGATGTTAAAACCAGGTTCCATGGGTGCTCACCTAATTTTTGGTTCTTATGATGATATTTTTTCTGTGTAGACAGCTGTTAACTTTGTGTCCTTGTGGTGGGAAGAGTCAGTGGGGACTTCTATTCTGATATCTTGCTCTACCTCCTTTTGGATTCCACAATATTTTTTCTCAGTGAGCTTATGTCTTTGAATTTGAGCCCTTTGATTCTGAGGTTTAGACAAGGGGCCATGGTGAGGCCTAGGGACAGCATCCATGCCCCATTCTCCCTGACCCTGCTGTTCTTCCTAGCCATGCTGTGAGGGGTTGGATCTTCCAGGCATTGACTCCACTGTACTTTGTCCTGGGCTCTGCATCTATCTGGTACATAATTTAAATTTCTCATTTTCTAGGGTTTTCACTAAAAATGATCACTGAGAGTATATATATATATGTGTGTGTGTGTGTGTGTGTGTGTGTGTGTGTGTGTGTGTGTGGTTTTTGGTTATATGGATGAATTGTATAGCGGTGAAGTATATTATATATATATATACTTCAATAAATATATTGAAAAATATATATAGAAATATATAAAATGTAAAATGCCAGATATAACAGTCTGCATTCAAAGTATATAAGAAAAGTTGGGTGTGTTTTTGGTAAGAAAGTTTACAAAAAGTCATGAAAATGTACTTTTTTGTTAAAAGGAAAGTAACTTTTCCTAGTTTACAGATTTTTAAAAGTTGTTTACATTGAAGTAATAAAAGTAAACAAGCTTAATGCATATAGAAAGCTGGGGAAAGAAAGAAAATGGGAAAAAGTGTAATAGGTTATAAAAGGGTGTATGGAAATTTGATTGTGCATGCTCGAAGCTGATTGAAATTGGATGAATCTATTTATAAAGTTCTATTAAAATTAGCTTTAGCATTAATAATACACTAATGAAAAGATAGAACTTGGTTTTCTCTTTTGAATAAGATTTTTGTGTAATCTTAATAAAAGATGGTAAAATATTTTTATCTATTAAATAAACTGCAAAAGAAAAGGGGAGAGAGTGAGATAGATTTTGATTGTTTGGGAAATTATTAATTTACAGTGACCTGTGATCTGATTTTGAGCAAGTGTTTTAAACTTTTGATATTTGATAACCTCCAAAATCAAATTTGAAAGTCTTAATTAGGTCTTTTTTACCTAAAATTAACATTGTAGATTTTAGGGCTCCTGGATGTCCAAAAGAGATGTATTAGGTTTATGTTGTATGTTAAAGTCATATGGGAAGCATTAACAAATAAAAAAATAGTGCTTAACTTATATAAGTGGGTTATTAATATGTATTTCAAAATTGTATGGGAGTCATACAATTCTATTATTTCTTAGTACATTTTATCAGAAATAATTATGATTATTATGTTAAATAATTGTATGCCACAGAAATAACCAAATTTCCTTGCCAACTGTGTCTTTAATCATGGATATTCTGAGTCTTTTCTCATACACAAGCAATTATTGTTTTATTTCATTGTTTTTAAAAAGCAGTTTATAATTGACTAAAGTCTGTAATTTGCGGTTTCTTCAAGGAAATTCACGGAAAGAACCCTGAAAAATACTCTTCAATTTAGGTTCTGATAACTTTTGAGATCATACCACTGGATTGGGTAAAAACTTCCAGAACTCTAAAAAGTTGATGCTTTTATGAAGATTGCTAACCCAACATCTAGCAGAACAAGAGTTAATTACATGAGACTAAATTAATAGAGGACTGGAATAACATTGTTATGAGTTTTTTGATTGAAACATGCTGCTTATTTTTATATTTTGTTTTTCAGAGCCAAGAAACCTTTTTTCTTTTGAACTGTGTATAGCTAACAATTGGATAAAGTATACTTTTTGAGAAAAGTTGATACATTTATCTTTCTTTTTATTTGATTTCTCCAAAATTTGGAAGCTATTTGGATTTTTAAATTTATGGCAATATAGTTATTTGAAGAAGTTTAGTAAGAGTATTTTTTCTTTTGTAAGAGTATAAAATTGTAGACACTGGCTACCAAGTCTTTGGTTAGAATGACATATTTTCAGATATGACCAAATATTTTTGAGGAAATGTGACTGAATTCATATAGCCAATGAAAAACTCCTTAGAAAGACTGCCTTCATATCTTGCCTACAAAGTTCCCT
Organism: Homo sapiens; assembly: GCF_000001405.40. Taxonomy (NCBI): domain Eukaryota; kingdom Metazoa; phylum Chordata; class Mammalia; order Primates; family Hominidae; genus Homo; species Homo sapiens. The sequence goes on from NC_000024.10 coordinate 6,208,370, forward strand.
TACAAAGTTTGTGATCTCGCAGTAAGTAAAGTATGCCACTCTCTGATATGTCCAGGATATTCATTCAAGATATTTTGGGACCTTAAGAGAAAAGGAATCCATTCAATTTATACAGAGAATATAGGCACAATGTGATGTGATTGTGATTCTTTGACTTTACTTCCTACCTTGGAGGGTTTTAAAAATTTAACCTGTAAAGCTTTGCTTTAAAATTCCAGGAAAACCAACTTTAAAGAGCTTATATGGCCAGTCACAATTTTATGCTAAAAATTAGGCCAAGTATATTAGAACTGAAATTTACTTTTCAAATAAATTGGTCCTCTTATGTTTTATTCTTGGTAGAATTGGGGAACTAGCGAGAGAAAAATTATATTTCAGGAAAACTCTATAGTACACCTGTTTGTAGACTTGTCCATTGTTTTTCAGTTTTTATTATTTTTCTACAATTTAGACTGAATCATGCATTCTTCTCTGGCTACAAGTCTCCAACTAATGTTTTCAAATTTTCCTTCAATTTTTTTGACATGTGATCACTAGAAAATCAAACTACTTTTCTTAAAGCCCTGCAAAGTGAAGCTAGACAACTTGATATAAACATCACAAGAAATCACCACGGCAACTGATACATAAACAGCTGTCATGCTGGCTGATATATCAACTACTCAGAAAGTTCAATTGAATATTTGCTTTGAGTTATTATCCAGAAAAATCTGTCAGCTTGCCACTGCAATCTGAATACGCTTCAGAGACTCTAGAAAAACAAGTCTATAGAGTACTCTGGACATTAACCTTTGTTTTTCTTGTTTCTATAGAAATGCTTCTTATTAAAGATCTGTTTTCTTGCATGATATATACAGGCCTAGTCCATCTGCAATAGCATCTCCTGGAGTGGGACACAGCTGCCGAAATAAACTGATCTATTCTCAGGACTAAGAGACTGATTAAGAATGATATACATATATATATATAAATGTGCTGTTTTCTGCGTATCCTAATTTGGTTACTTTCTATTCCTTTGCCTTTTTTAATCTAATAAACTCTAACCAAAATATCTTCAATGCTATAAGCCTTACTTTAACATATAAAAGTTCTTAAAGTTTTAAAGTGGAAGCTGAAAGAAAATCAAAATATTTTACCCCAAAATATATTTCTTTGATGTATTTTGAGACACCTGTTTAGAAATCCAGCAAAGAGAAGTAGAGAAGTAACCCTACAAAGTTGTCTTTTGTGGGGGCAGATTTGCATCTGTAGAGAATCTGCATTGTTGCAGCCAGATTTTCTCTGAGGCCTCCTTTTATCCAGATCTAGGAAAGATTTACTGAAAGTCTGACACTTTTATAGGTCTGAAAAAAACAGTTATCATGTATTCTTTCTGAGGTCTGCTACCTGTGAAGTTTCATCTGCATAACAAGACCACTTTTGCTAGCTAAGCCTCCTCTTCTCTACCTCCCATAACCTGTTTTGCCACCATAACCTGTTTTTTCAAATTCCAATCCCAATTCTTTCAGTAACATCAAGATGGTATTTAAGCTTCTGAACTCCATGAGGGGATTAGGATGTAATCACCCTGTGTTTCTCTCCCACATGCATATTAATAATTTTTATGCCCTTTCTCTAATTAATCAGACTTTTGCAAGTTGATTTTTTTCGTGGATCCTCGGAAGGCAAAGGAGAACTTTTTCTTTGACTTTTGTCCATTGTCAAACTGCTATAAATAAATACCTGAGACTCAGTAATTTCTAAGAAAAGAATTTTAATTGGCTCATGGTTCTGCAGGCTGTACAGAAAGCATAACAGCTTCTGATTCTCAGGAAGCCTCAGAAAGCTTCCAATCACATGGCAAAAGGTAAAGCGGGAGTGAGCTCTCTTACATGGCTGGAGCAAGAGATAGAGAGAGAGGAGGGAGGTGCTACACACTTTAAAAAAAAACAGATCTCATGAAAACTCACTTACTACTGCCAAGAAAATACCAACGGGGGTGGTGTTAAATCATTCCTGAAAAACTGCCCCCCATGATCTAATCACCTCACACCAGGCCCCACTCCTAACACTGGAAATTACAACTCAACATGAGATTTGGGCGGGGGCACAGATCCAAACCATATCAACCCCTATGTTAGATTTTACTATACCCTTGAACATTGCTACCCACAGTTATCAGAATAAACATATGATCTTTAGAGTCTGCTTGAGAATCATTCATTGTTTATGTATACTTACTAAAAGCTCCTACGAAAAATTGAGAATTGACTGTTTTAGTTGTGGGGTAATGAAAAAAAAACTGAAGAAGGAAAATATCAGACTAGCTATTTTATAGTAGATCCCAGTTCATCTTTAGAAGATAATTTCTTAGCATGGATTAAATCATTCTATATATAAGAATTTATTGCTCTTACTAGAATCCCTTTATATAAAAAATGCCTAGACACAATGGCCAATCCAATAGCAATGAGCATTCTGAATCCCAGGACTGTGACATTTTAATACTATTTCTCATTTACTTAAACCAAACTTCCTGGATAAATGGTTGATTCAAGGTATAGAATAGAAAATATACAAGATAAATCTGGAGTCCATTGGTATGCCAGAGAGCAATGAAGCTAACAAAGACTATGAATATCATCTCAAAAGGACTCTAGTTCCAACTTAAATAGGTTCTTGTAGCCAAACAATATACAGTTCGAGCCTCAATAAAGATAAAAATTGAAACATATTGAGAACATCAAATACATATAAATCCATGATTTTATAATGGCATGAAAAACAAGTGTTCACTTTTAAAAAGTGACAGAAGACTAATTATCTAAAAACTGTAAATAATGTTAAATAATCATACATTTAACCTACCTTTCCTACATAAACTGTACCACTAGTTAATAAATTATTAGATTAAAAGTATCTCTATATAAAATTATTCTAGATTTAAAAGCAAACCATAATAAAATTAAAATATTGCCATTTTGAATGCCCCCCAATGAATCTATGCATTGAAGATCAAAAGCTGCTCACATTTAAAAAAAGGTGAAAAACAGTCATATGCCTCCTGATGAAAGGACAAGACACCACCAATAGCCTTGTCACAGGGATTGCATCTGACTCTGATCACATTTTCTAATCCAGCTGCCATTTTGCAGAAAATACAGGGGAACTTACTGAACTGTACTATGATTACCAAGCAGAAAGCCCACACTGTAAAAACATTTACAAGTCAAACATAAGTTTTTAAACAAATAAATTGTAAGAAAGAAAAGAATGAAGAGAGGAAATCTATGGATAAATGTGATGTAAAACTTATATCATTTTTTAAATGGGGAAGCTTAAAGCTATAGTGTCTAGGGTTGCACACGTGGGTAATAAAACCAAAAGACATGCAGGAAAGTGATTACTAAAATGTCAGAATGATGGTTACTTTTGGAAGGAAGAAAAAATTGTGATTGAGATGGGACCAATGGAAAGACTTCTAGCATAACGTGAAAAGTTCCTTTTCTTGACCTGGGTGGTGGGTATAATGGTATTCACTTTGTAGTAATTATCTAAGATCATGTTATCCCTGGGGGAAATAGTGATTAGTAGAAAGCATAAGTAGGAATTCTGGGATGCTGGCCTGTATTCTGCTTCTTGATCTAAATGTGAATTACATGAGTGTTTTCCATTTCTTATAATTCATTGACCTGTTTACTTACATGCACTTTTCCATATGTAAACTATATTTCATAAAGAAATTAAAAATGTCATGGGCACTCCATTAAACACTTCAGAGAGTAATGCTTCTTCCATTAGGCTCTTCTAATGAGAAATATTCTCACATTTTTAATTTCAATATACAATAATTTAAAAATTGGACCCTGATCATGGAGCAAAAAAAAAACTTATGCAAAATTAATCATAACACTGTCCATGGGGTCCAGAAACACAACAGGGGCAGGATTAATCCTTGGCACTTTCTTTTTTTTAACAGTAATCTGTTTTTCTTGGAGATAATCCATCCTAATTTTCAGAAATTTTTCAGCTTCACTCAGAAAGTTAATTGGGGCACCTCCGTTGAAATGGTTTGACTCTGTGTCCCCACCCAAATCTCATGTTGAATTGTAATTCCCAATGCTGGGGAAGGGACCTGGTGGTAGGTGACTTGATCATGGAGGTGGATTTTTCCATTGCTGTTCTTGTGACAGTGACTGAGTTCTCATGATATTTGATGGTTTAAAGTCTCTGGCACTTGCCCTTTCTTTCTCTCTCTCTCTCTCTCCTTCTGCCACGTGAAGATGTGTTTGCTACCTCTTCACACTTCTGCCATGACTGTAGGTTTCCTGAGGCTTCCCCAGCCATGCCTTTTGTAAATCCTGTGGAACTGTGAGTCAATTAAACCTCTTTTATTTATAAATTACCCAATCTCAGACAGTTTTTTATAGCTGTATGAAAATGGACTAATACAGAAAACTGGTACTGAGAGTGGGTTACTGCCCCTTTGTTTTGGCCAATTTGTCCATTTGGAATAGGAGCATTTACACAATGCCTGTACCCTCATTGTATCTTGGAAGTAACTAACTTGATTTTTATTTTACATGCTCATAGGCAGAAGGGACTTGTCTTGTCTCAGATGAGACTTTGGACTTGGACTTTTGAGTTAATGCTGGAATGAGTTAAGACTTTGGGTGGACTGTTGGAAAGTCATAACTGTGTTTTGAAATGTGAGAAGGACATGAGATTTGGGAGGATCCAGGGTCACAATAATATGGTTTGGTTCTGTGTCCCTACCCAAATCTTATGTTGAATTGTATTGACTAATGTTGGGGGAAGAACTTGTGGGGAGGTGATTGGATCATGGGGGCAAATTTCCCCCTTGCTCTTATTGTGATAGTGAGTGAGTTCCTGTGAGATCTAATTATTTAAAAGTCTGTGGCACTTCCCCCTTCTCTCTCTCTTTTGCTGCCATGTGAAGACCTGCTTGCTTCCTGTTGGCTCTTTCACCATGATTGTACATTTCCTGAGGCCTCCCCATCCATACCTTCTGTATAACCTGTGGAACTGTGAGTCAATTAAACCTCTTTTCCTTATAAATTACCCAGTCTCAGATAGTTCTTTATAGTAGTGGGAGAATGGAGTAATATACCTGTCATGTTAAACCATCTCTATATCTCCAGTACAATCTGTACCTAATCAGGGTACTGGTTTTATGTGAAGATCAAGTTTGTTTTTTGTTTACCACACATAAACTTGATTTGTGTATATGAGATGTTAGAGATGTATTTATTCAAGAGTAATCCACAACCTGTGGTTAATTTATCATTGAGGTATGAGCCCACTATCATAAAAATTAAAGGGGTTTATGAAAAATTACCCAGAAAATCACTCACTTTTATACCTACCATTCACACGATGATTTCTATAATGGGCAGATGTTTGTCAATACCTTAGCTTAAGTGGTAAACAATACTTTCACAGCTTTTAAGTTTCAATGGAGAAGTTTAATTGTTTTTTGTCCAAGTGCTAATAGACAAATAAGTAGCTATAGATTCCCTGTTAGCCAAAATGGTGTTTGATGTTACACTCAGACTAATACTACTGCCATGTAAAATGACAAATCTCTAAATTGAAAGAACTGACCACTTGGAAACTTGTTTTCTTGGCTTAGATTTAATTTGAATCATGACATTCATTATGCTTGACATAACCCAACCCTTATTTTGCTATTAGTCTTTTTGCAAATTGTCCATGACAAATGTGTACATGAGTCTTATATGCTGCTGTTCCATTAATGTCATATCAGATGGTCCAATAACTCATCATTTGACAAAAAGAACATAGAGGTCAGACCCTGGTCCAACTACAAACTGTTGTTTCTGAGACAATGATGGAATCTAATGATCACTTGCGTTGTATAGAACTGGAATAAGAACACTTTTGTGGCTGACTTTATGATCTACTCAGGATGGCTGAGGGGATTTGGGAATAGAAGAGTCATATAGTCATCTGAATTGCCACTGAAACAATAGGATGGCTAGAGAAGATAAAGAGTAGGGAAATCTGAGTGACAAAACAAATATTGTGAGCCCTGCGTAGAGAATCAATAAATTTATTGGATGTTAAATAGAATTAAAAGACAGTATTTAAATAATTCTTTAAAATTCTGTTTCAAATACATATATTTTGTATTCTAATAAGTCAAATTGACACAAGTTGGAAACACCTCCAATAAAAAGTGTAAAAGCAAGATGTACAATGGCACAATATTAGGATCTCAGCTGTAAACACTGTTCAATAAATTTAGTTAATATCAACTCCTCATAGGGCAAAGAATTTGTATGCCAACTCCCAAAATGGAAAGAATGGCTCCCAGGCAAGACGTAATGATAACCAGCTGAAAGTTATTAACATATCTAAAGATAAAATATATAGATGTAGGTGTGCTTGCTGCTTGTGTGGATGGTGGTATAGTATGGGGGGAGAAGAGGGAAAAGCAGAAAATGTAGAATAAAAATAGAGGGGTAGTGAAGCAAACCTTGACATTGCCCACACAAGTACGTATCAGGAGGCAAGAACTCTTAAATAATAAATTAGCCTTTCATTTTTAGAATGCTTCCAAGTTGAAAGTTCTCAAGCCCCTAAGAATTCTCTTTAGTAAGTATCTAAGTTAATGAGTGTTCATTCTAGCTGATTGCAAGTTCTGTCTTCTATGGCCTTCTCTTTCCCTAGTATTTCTGATTATCCCTGGAAAATTCTTACATATTCCACAAATTGATGCTGGCTTCACTTATCACCTTTCCTACAGACACAAGCTCTGGTCTTCTCTTTTTGATGTTGTTTTCTCTTTTCCAGTGCCACTTCACTCCAGTGTGAACTAACATTTCTTTCTTAATGTCCTAAATATTTTCTAACTCTAATCTGTAGAAGCTATCAGATCTCTTCTGTGAAGTAATATAGCATTCTGGTTAAATGTGTGGACACTGATACTATGTCTTAGGTTCTAATCCATTTGGCCACTTACTAGCAGTAAGATCCTAGGGAAGTTACTAACTTGATGCCTGAATTGTATTTTTTTTTGTAAAACAAAGATAATACTAGTACTGATATCATAGACCTTCATTAAAGATTAAATGGACTACTTCCAAGTGAGCATTAGGAGCAGTGCTTGGCACATAGTACATGCTAGCTAAGTATTATCCATATGGAAGCTTGGGAACAAACTATTGAGAATTGCAATGAAGGGAAAAAATAACAAAAACAAGGTGTAATATTTTACCTAATGTTCATTGACTAGTGCCTATCAAGGGAACTTCCTAACTGGTATTTCAGTCTGCCCTCTTCTACAGGATTCTCTGTGAAAAGTATAGTTTATAGCTCACTTACTGGAACTGCCTTGCCCTTGTCCTCTCTCCAGGGTGCTCACCATCAATCCCCCTACCTGCCTGCAATACATCAGAAAAGAAAGTTCTTTCTCTTCAGCAATTAAAAATTGATCACTTTGTAAAGCTGCAACTCAGGACCACACTGGAGAAGATTTTTACATGACTATACTCAGTTAACAAGTTCCTTAAATTCCTCATTCTAGGAAAGGATTTTGGCTTTTTATCAACATAAATGGAAAGCTGATAAAGTGTTTATCCCAAAGCAGAAAATAAATTTTCCTTAGTCCTACACCACAACACCCATCAAGATAAGTAGTGTTAATCATACATTTGAAATAGGCTTCCCCTCTAGAATAGCTGGAGATGCCTTTGAAATACTACGCTTTTAAATATGCATCACCTTAAGAAAGGCTTAACCTCTTATATCACATGGGTAACATTTTGGCAACAATTTGGGCAAGATATTTAAGCTTTCTATTTCATCATCTATAAAATGGGGTTATTACTGCCATCTACTTCAAGGGGTTGCTTCCAGGGTTAAATACATAAAAAGATAAATAAAGCTCTTATTGCATTATCTGGAATATAGCAAACACTCAATAAATCTTAAATATTTTTAAATTATGGTAATAGATCCCAGAAAATAGAGACTTTTTAAAAAGAAGTTTTCTGTGCTCCTTGTTCTAACTTTCCTCTGGAACCTTAATGAGTTTCTGATGCAGTTCACGTCTACAAATTTGCCAAGAATAGCTGATGAGATTCAAGGTGACTGCAAAAAGTTGCACCTTTTTTACATATTGTGTTTTTTAAGAGAAGAAAAGAACATGTTAACAAGGGTTTAGCTCTTTTTTAAAAAAGGGCAAGATAAAGTAAGTCATATAAATCACCTGATTTTCTTATTTTAAATTATTGAATACATTTTCTATGCCACTTTACTTATCTTCTTTAATGATGCTATTCTGAAAGTTTCCTTCAATATTTTAACATTTTCTGGCTGCTTTTGTATGATTGTTATGAGTGGTTCTGGAGCTAGAAATGTCCAGTTAGCAACATACTAAAAAAGGTTATTTATGCTTTAGATTGTGACTGTAAAACAGTTTAACAGTTTACAAAAGTATTGTTATTGATTCTAGATATCATTGGTCTCTTTGAGTATATTCTTAAATCTTCCTTTTATTATTTGTATCGTTAGAGGAAGATTAGGCATAATCTACTAAACTGAAGAGGAGAAAAACCGAATTTTTTTTTACTTTTAAAAGATCTTACAGGTATGTTCTGTGATTTGGTATTTTGTATTTGGTAAATATGTTTCATGGTATTGTTCTTTCCATTTTTATATTAACATTTTTGGATTTCATATTAAATGAATCTTGGCATCAAAATGTTTCAACATATCTCTCTTTCTGGTGAAGCTCATCCTGTTGGTTGATTTATTTGTCTTATGGCTGTACTTTTCTCTGTGATTTTATGCAAGTCTTGTTGTCAACCTTAAACAATCAAAAGGCTCAGGATGTAGTTAAAAGAGTTTATTCAAGTGCAAAGTGTGAGGGAAGCTGTCTGGGAAGCAGAACTTCATCAAGGAAGAATGGTAAGAAGAATGGTAATCAGGGCTCCTGACACGAGAAAAATGAGGATTGTTTATATAGGCCAAACAAAGCTGCTGAACAGAATTACATTTTTCATACAAAGGCTAAAATACAGACATAAGACCTAATTAGCTACTATTGATTACACAAGAATGGAGTGGTTTGAAATTCTTTTATAAAGAGGTAACAGTCACAAGGGTCTCTATCTCTAACATCATTTAATCTAGGTTTGAATAAATAATAGGAAGTCTGGATAATGTATAACATCTCAACACAAAGGTCAGAAAACAATGGTTATGCACCAGAGAAGAAAAACAGTTGTAATAGGCGAGTCGGCTTTTATGCCTTAACTTTTATGGCAAAACCTCTCTAAGCGTTTTGAATCTCAAACATTGCTTATTCGGGTTTGCATATCTGTCATTAATTTGGTGATGTTATGTAATTCATCTGGGATATAAACACAGGATTGTTTTTTGTATATATTTTTCCCTTTTACAAATTTTTATCTTTTATTTTAGAATCAGGAGGCACATGTGCAGCTTTATTACAAGGCATACTGTGTTATGTTGAGTTTGGGAGTATGAATGAATCTGTCCTGCCAGTAGAGAGCATAGTATCCAACAGGTAGTTTTAAAACCTTGCGTCCTTCCCTCCCTTCTCCTTCTTGTATTGCACAGTGTCATATTGATCTCATCTTTATGCGCATGTATAGCCAGTGTTCAGGTCCCACTTATAACTGAGAACACGTGGTATTTACTATTCTGTTCTGCAAACTTAGCTTAGGATAATGGCTTTCAACTGCATCCATCTTGCTGCAAAGAACATGATTTCTTTTGTTTTTCATGGCTGTGCAGAATACCATGGTGTATATGTACCACACTTTCTTTATCCAGTTCACTGTTGATGGGCACTGGGGTTGATTGCATGTCTTTGTTATTGTGAGTAGTGTTTTGATGAGCATATAAGTGCCTGTGTCTTTTTGATAAAATAATTTATTTGGGGGAAGTATGTACTGAGTAACAGGATTGGATTGCTGGGTCAATTGGTAGCACAACTTTTAGTTCTTTGAGAAATCTTCAAACTGCTCTCCATACTGGCTGAATTAATTTTTATTCCAACGAACAGTATATAAGTGTTGTCTTTTCTCCAGAACCTCATCAACATATGTTAGTTTTTTACTTAAAACAAACAAACAAACAAAACTTCCAACTGGTGTGAGTTGATACTTCATTGTCATTTTGATTTTTATGTCTCTGATGATTAGTGACAATGGGAATTTTTCCATGTTTGTTGGCTGCTTATATGTCTTCTTTTGAGAAGTGTTTTTTCCTGTCCTTTGCCCACTTTCTAGTGGGTCATTTGCTTTTTGCTTCTTGGATTAAGTTTCTAATAGATTTGGGATATTAGACCTTTTTGAGATGGATACTTTTTGAATATTTTCTCCCATTTTGTAGGTTGTCTATTTATGACCTTGATAGTTTCTTTTGCTCTTCAGAATCTCTTTAGTTTAATTAGGTCACACATTCAATTTTGTTTTTGTGCAATTGTTTTTGAGGGCATAGCCATAAATTCTTTGCCAAAGTTGATATTGAGAATGGTATTATTTAGAGTTTCTTGTAGAATTTTTATACTTTGAGATCTTACATGTCAATCTTTACTCCATCTTGATTTAATTTTTATATATGGTGAAAGGTAGTGGCCCAGTTTCATTCTTCTGCATATGGATAGCCAGTTATTCCCACACTATTTACTGAATAGAGAGTTTTTTTCACCATTGTTTATTTGTTTAGACTTTGTCATGGAGCAGATGGCTGTAGGTGTTTAGTTTTATTTTCAAGTTGTCTATTCTGTTCCATTGGTCTATGTGTCTGTTTTTGTATTGGTAGCATGCTGTTTTGGTTATTATAGCCTTGTAGTATAATTTGAAGTTGGGTAATGTGAGGCCTCTAGCTTTGTCCTTTTTGTTTGGATTTCTTTGGTTATTTGTGCTCTTTTGGTTTTATATAAGTTTTAGAAATTTTTTTTTGGCTAATTCTGTGTAAAATAACTTTGGTAATTTGGTAGGAATAGTGCTGAATCTGTAAATTGCTTTGGGGTGTGTGGCCATTTTAATGATATTGATTCTTCTAATCCATCAACATGAAAAGTTTTTCAGTTTGTGTCGCCTCTGACTTCTTTCAGCAGTTTTTGCAGTTTTTGTTGAGATATTTCACCTCTTTGGCTAGTCATATTACTAGGTATTTTATTCTTTTGTAGCTATTGTAAATGGGATTGCATTCTTGATTTTACTCTCAGCTTGACCTTAGAACATTTCTAAGTATATAGAAATGTTCCTGATTTGAGTACATTAATTGTACATACTGAAACTTTTCTGAAGTTGTTTATTAGTTCTAGTAGCCTTTTGGTAGAGTTTTTAGGTATTTTTTCAGGTATAGAATTACATAGTGGAGAAAGACAATTTGACTTATTTTTTTCTCTTGTCTAATTGCTATGAAAAGGATTTTCAGTACTATGTTAAATAGGGTAGTGAAAGTGGGCATCTTTCTCTTGATCCAGTTCTCAAAAGGAATAGTTCCAGCTGTTGCCTATTCAGTATGATGCTGTCTGTGGCTTTGTCATAGATGGCTTTCTTATTTTGATGTATGTTTCTTCAATGTCTAGTTTACTGAGGATTTTTATCATGAAGGAATGTTGGATTTCATTGAAAGCATTTTCTCTCTATTAAAATGATCGTAAGGTTTTTAATTCTGTTATGTAGTGAATGATATTGAATGATATGTGTATGTTTAACCAACTTGCATCCAAGGAATAAAGCCTGCTTCATTATAGTGAATTAATTTTTGACTTGCTACTGGAATTGGTGTGCTTGTACTTTGTTGAGAATTTTTGCTTTTGTGTTCATTAGGGATTTTGGCCTGAAATGTTCTCTTTTTTTCATTGCATCTCTACCTGATTTTGGTATTAGGATGACTCTGGATTCATGGAATGAGTTAGGAAGGATTCTTCCCTACTCAATTTATTGGAATAGTTTCAGTAGGATTGGTACCACTTCTTCTATATCTAATAGAATTTAGCTGTCAATCCATCTGGTCCAGAAATTTTTATTGGTAAGTTTTTATTACTGATTTAATTTCAGAACTCATTATTGGTCTGTTCAGGGTTTCAATTTTTTCCTAGTTCAATCTGGGGAGGTGAATCTAGCAATTTATTCATTCCCTCTAGATTTCCTAGTTTGTGAGCATAGATGTATTTATAATAGTCTCCAAGGATCTTTTATATTTCTGTGAAATTGGTTGTAATGTCACCTTGTAATTTCTGACTATGTTTATTTGGATCTCCCCTCCTTTTTTTCTTTGTTAATCTAGCAGTCTATCCATTCTGTTTATTCTTTCAAAAATTTATTTTTGGTTTTGTTAATCTTTTGTATGGAATTTTGGCTTTCAACTTTGCTCAGTTTGCTCTGATTTTGGTTATTTATTTTCTTCTACTAGTTTTGGGGTTAGTTTGTTCTTGTTGTTCTAGTTCCTGTAGGTTCAAGTTTAGATTGTTAATTTAACTAACTTCTTGATGTAGGCTTTAAAAAATATATATTTCCATAGGCTTTTGGGGAACAGGTGGTATTTGGTTACATGAGTACGTTCTTTAGTGGTGATTTGTGAGATTTTGGTGCACCCATCACCCAAGCAGTATACACTGAACCCAAGTTATAGTCTTTTATTGCTATAAACTTCTTAACACTGCTTTAGCTGTATCTCTAACAATTTGGTATGTTGTGTTTACTTTTAACAATTTCAAAGAATTTTTTGATTTATGCCTTATTTCATTGTTTACCAAAAGTCATTCAGGAGGAAGTTGTCTATTTGCATATAATTTTTTTGGTATTAAGAGATCTTTTTGATATTGATTTCTATTTTTATTGCCCTGTAGTCCAAGAGTGTGGCTGGTATGATTTTGATATATATATATATATATATTTTAATTTTGTGATACTTGCTTTATGGGTGAGCATGTAGTCAATCTTAGAGTATGTTCTGTGTGCATATGAGAAGAATGTATTTTCTGGAATTGTTGGATGGAGTATTCTCTAGATGTCTTTTAGCTGTCCAATTGGTCAAGTGTCAAGTTTAAGTCCAGAATGTCCTTGTTAACTTTCTGCCCTTGAAGAACTAACACTGTCAGTGGGGTGTTGAAGTCCCTCGCTATTATTGTGTGACTGTGTAAGACTTTTTGTAGGTTGAGGAAAACTTGTTTTATGAATCTGAGTGTTCCTATGTTGGGTGCATATAAATTTAGGATAAATTTTCTTGTTGAATTGAGCCATTTATTATTATGTAATGCCCTTCTTTGTCCATTTTGACTGTTGTTCATTTAATGTCTGTTTTATCTGTTTTATCTGTTGTAAGAATAGCGACCTTTGCTCTGTTTTTTTTTTTTTTTTTTTTTTTTTTTTTTTAAATTTGCATGATAGCTTTTTCTCCATCCCCTTACTTTTAGCTTGTGGTTATCAGTATATGTGACATGGCTTTCTTGAAGACAGTAGAAGGTTGGGGCTTGTATTTTTTTTTAAAATCCAATTTGCCACTCTCTCTTTTTAGTAGAGTATTTAGACCCTTTACATTCAACCTTAATAAAGATATTTGAGGTTTTGATCCTGGTCATTGTGTTGTTAGCTGGTTATTTTATAGACTTCATTGTGCACTTTGGGAGGGTGAGGTGGGTGGATTACCTGAGGTCAGGAGTTCAAAACCAGCCTGACCAATATGGTGAAACCCCGTCTCTACTAAAAATACAAACTTAGCCAGGTGTGGTGGCACATGCTTGTAATCCCAGCAACTTGGGAGGCTGAGGCAGGGGAATCGCTTGAATCCAGGAGGCAGAGGTTGCAGTGAGCCAAGATCGCACCATTGCACTCCAGCCTGGGCAACAAGAGTAAAACTCCATCTCAAAAAAAAAAAATAATAATAAAATAGACTTGGTTGTGTAGTTGTTTTTTAGTGTATGTGGGCAATGTACTTAGGTACATTAAATGCTGTTTTTGTGGTAACAGTAATTGTTCTTTAATTTCCATGTTTAACACTTTCATAACATCCTCTTGTAAGGCCAACCTAGTGGTAATAAATTCCCTTAGCTGTTGCTTTTCTGAAAAAAAAAATTCTCCTTCACTTAAGAAGCTTAGTTTGGGATAATATGAAATTCTTGGTTGGAATTTATTTTCTTTATTGATCCTAAAATATGCCTTCAATTTCTTCTGGCTTGTGACTTTTCCATTAGAAAGTCTGCTGTTAGCCTGATGGGGTTCCTTTTTTATGTCACCTGACACCTGTCTGTAGCTTCCTTTAAGATTTTTTTCTTTAATGTTGATCTCAGATGATCTCATGAGTATGTGTCTTTGGAATGGTCATCTTCCATAGTATATTGCAGATTTTTTTTTTTCTTGAATTTGCATGTCAATTTCTCTAACAAGGTAGGGAAGATTTTCATTAACTATATCATCAAATATGTTCTCTAAGTTTCTTATTCTCTCAGGAATGCCAGTGTGTTGCAGGTTTGGTCTCCTTATATAATTCCATATTTCTCAGACATTTTGGCCACTTTTAAAAATTCTTTTAAAAAAATGTCTACTTGAGTTGATTCAAGACTGGTCTTCAAACTGAAATTTTTTATGAGCTTGCTGTATTCTTTTGTTAATACTTTCAATTATATTGTACAATTATTGTAGTAATTTTTTTCAGTTCTGTAAGTTGAGTTTGGTTCTTTTGTAAAATTGCTATGTCACGTTTCTTCTCTTGGATCATTTTACTGGTTTCCTTGAATTGGGTTTTGTATTAGTTCATGTATGTTGCTATAAAGGAATACCTGTGACTGGGTAGTTTATGAATAAAAGAGATTTATTTTAGCTCATGATTCTGAGTGCTGTACATGATGCATGGCACCAACATTTCTCCTTGTGAGGACCGTAGGAAGCTTTCAATCATGGCAGAAGACAAAGGGCATGCTGACACATCAGACGGTGAGAGAGGGAGTGGGAGGGGTACCACACTTTTTAAAAGAATTATATCTTATGTGCATTCAGAGCAAGATATCACTCATATCATGAGGACAACACCAAGCCATTCATGAGGGATCTGCCCCAGTGATACAAACACCTACTACTGTGCCTACCTCCAATATTGGAGGTCATATTTTAACATCAGATTTGGAGAGGATAAAACACCCAAACCATATCATTCCATCCCTGGCCCCCCAAATTTTATGTTCTTCTCAGATTGCAATATAAAATTATCCCTTACCAATAATTTCCCAAAGTCTTAACTAGTTCCAAGCATTAACTTAAATGTCCAAAATCTCACCCAAGACTCTAGGTACATTTCTTCCACATTTTTTTTTTTTTTTTTTTTTTTTTTTTGCCTGTAGAATAAAAAACATACTATTTACTTGCAAGATGCAATGGTGGTACAGGCATTGAGTAGGCATTCCCATTCCAAAATAGAGAAAATAGCCAATAGAAAGGGGCAATAGGCCCCCCAGAAGTCTGAAACCCAGCAGGGCAGACTTTAATTCTTAAAGCTCCAAAATAATCCTTGAATCCATGTCCCACATCTAGGGTACACTGATGCAGGGGGTGGGTTCGAAAGGCCTTGGGCAGCTCTACCCATATGGCTTTGCATGATGTAGCCCCTGTTGCTACTCTCATGGGTTGAAGTTGAGTGTCTGTGGCTTTTCCAAGCTCAGGGTGCAAGCTGTCAATGGATCTACCACTTTGGGGTCTAGAAGGCTGCAGCTCTGTTTCCACAGCTCCACTAGGCAGTGCCATAATGGGGACTCTCTGTGGGGTGTCCAACCCCATACTTCCCTTCCACACTGCCCCATCAAATGTATTCTGAAGGGCATCTGCCTGTGGAGCAGGCCTCTTTGTGGGAACCCAGGCTTTTCCATACATTTTCTGAAATCCAGGGGTAAGCTACTAATTTTCCTTACCTCTTGCATTTTGCAAGCCTGCAGACTTAACAATACATGGAGGCAGTCAAGAATTACAACTTATACTTTCTGAAGCAGTGGCCAAAGCTGTACCTGGGACACTTTGTGCTGAGGCTGGAACTGGAGCAATCTAGATGTTTGGAACAGTGTACCAAGACTACACAGGGCAGCAGGGTCCTTTTCCTGGCCTCATGGACCATTCTTTTCTCCTAGGCATCTGGATCTGTGATGGGACAGGCTGCCTCAGATATTTCTTAAATGCCTTTAGGCCTTTTTTTTTCATTGATTCAGATATTAGCACTTGGATCCCCTTTAGTCATGTAAATCTCTCCAGCATGTAGTTGCTCCTCAACCCCACTTGTATTCTTCCCCTGAAAGTATTCTTTCCTTCTCTACCACACTGCCAGGTTTTGACTTTTTAAAACTTTTATGCTCTTCTTTCCTTTCAAATATAAGTTCCCACTTTAAGTCATTCCTTTACTCCCTTATCTGATCATTGGCTGTTAGAGGCAGCCAGGTCATGTCTTGAATACTTTACTGCTTAGAAATGTATTCTTCCAGATACTTTAAGTCATTACTCTTAAGTTTAAACTTCCAGAGAACCCTAGGACATGAGCTTAATGCAGGCTTTTTTTTTTTTTTTTTTTTTTTTTTTTTTTTTTTTTTTGCTTGGGCATAATATGAGTGATCTTTACTCTAGTCTCAAAAACTTTCTCATTTCTGTCACAGTTCTTGTCAGCCTGGCTTCACTGTCCATATTTCTACCAGCATTTTGGTTACAACCACTTAACAATCCTCTAAGAAGTTTCAAACTATTCCCTACATCTTCTTGTCTTCTTCTGAGTTCTCCAAATGCTTCCAACCTCTGCCAGCTACCAAGTTCCAAAGCTGATTCCATATATTGTATTATCTTTGTAGCAATGCCCCACTTCCCATTACCATTTGTTTTTGTATGAACTCATTTGCATTGTTATAAAGAAGTACCTGAGACTGGGTAATTTATAGAGAAAAGAGATTTATTTTGGCTCATGATTCTGAAGGCTGTACAGGAATGCATGGCACCAGCATCTGCTAATGGTGAGGGCCTCAGGAAGCTTTCTATCATAGTAGAAGGCAAAGGAGGAGCTGCTGTATAACATGGTGTGTGTGTGGGGGGGGGGGGTGGGAGTAAGTGCTAAACAATTTTTTAAAAATTATTATTTTTTTAAATTGTGAGTACATAGTAGGTATATATACTTATGGGGTACATGAGATATTTTGATAAAGGCATGCAATGTGAAATAAGCATGTCATGGAGAATGAGGTAGCCATCCCCTCAAGCATTTATCCTATGAGTAACAATTCAATTACATTCTTTAAGTTATTTTAAAATATACAATTAAGTTATTGACTATAGTCATCCTATTAGGCTATCAAATAGAATAGCAGATCTTATTCATTCTTTCTAACTATTTTTTGTACCCATTAACAATCCCCACCTTCCCATCAAAACCCCACCACACTTCCCAGCCTCTGGTACCTATCCTTCTACTCTCTCTGTCTATGAGTTCAATTGTTTTAAGATACCACAAATAAGTGAGAACATGTTATTTTTGTCTTTCTGTGCTATAATCTTTTAACCAACTAGATATTGTGTGAACTCAGAGTGAGAACATACTCATTATTGTGAGAAAAGTACCAAGCCATTCATGAGGGATCTGCCCCCATGACCCAAAACCTTTAACTAGATTCACCTCCAATATTGGAGGTCACATGTCAACATGAGATTTGGAGAGGACAAAATATCCAAACCATATCAGGTTTCAACTTTCTCCTGAATGTCTTCCTTGCCATCTAGATTCTAAATTCTATGGATGTCATTTCAATTAGGTTAAGAACTATTTCTAGGGAGTTAGTACCATCATTTGGAGGTAAGAGGACCCTGACTTTTTAAATTGGCATTGTTCTCAGGCTGATTCTTTCTCATCTGAAAGTGCTGGCATTCCTTTATCATTTTGAATTGCTGTCTTTTGGATGGGGCTTTTTGTTTTTATCTACTTTATTTCCCTGAGTTTGACTTTGGCGTAAGTTGAGAATGGTCTATTGGCTTCACTTCTGGGTGCTTTCAGAGGGCCAAGACTCTGCATAGGATCTTTATTTGTGGCTAAATTCCTGCGTTGGGTTTCACAGGCAAGGTATACTGGAAGAAATCTTTTTTGTTGTTGTTATTGATGTAGTGCAGGCTGCAATCTAGTAGACCTGCAATCCAGTAGATGACACCTAAGAGTAATGTCCAGCAGATAGGCTCTTAATGACATGCCTCTTTTGTATTTTAGCGCATTCACAGCTGTTCTATGTGGGGAGAGATATGGGGGATGGGAGGAGAGATGACTCCCCTGCCAGGTCCATTCCCAGGCCTTAGGGGACCCCTCTCCAATCACTGTCACCCTGCCTGTAATTCCTTAGCCCCAAAGGGGGCCCTGCCAGGCTGCACTTTCC
Source organism: Homo sapiens (assembly GCF_000001405.40). NCBI lineage: Eukaryota > Metazoa > Chordata > Mammalia > Primates > Hominidae > Homo > Homo sapiens. The sequence continues at coordinate 6,226,758 of NC_000024.10, forward strand.
TCTCCTTTAGGGTCGGCTCAAGGTGAAGGTTAGTTCACCAGGAGATCTACAGAATGCTGGAGGCCCACTGATCCTCTGTGCTTGGCAGAATCAGAGTGGGTTGTGGGGTATGCCTGTGTGTGGTCTGTTCATGCAGTAGATCAAGAGCAGGGGATCTTCAGGCAGGGCAGTGTTGCTGTGGGTGTGCCACCGGTATGGCACAAGCATCCCAAGGATTTTTGCCCATAAGACAGCTATAGGGACCGCCTAGATCATTCTCCTTTGACTGGGTCTCCTTCCAGTGGCTTCCCCAGTAACTGGCCCAATCATCTACTTTTGCCCTAAGCCTTCTGCACCAAGCTCTCTGGGGTATTAGGTGTTCCAGTCTGTGGGGCTCCCTTGGGCAGAGGCTGTAGCTGAAAGACAAGTAATGAGGTGTGAACTACTCAACCCTGTGCCCAAGCATAACCTAGTGAATATCATCCTAACCATCCTGTGGGTAACCATAGTTATAGATTAGTGCCACATAGCCAAGATGTTTTATTTGGAGCTAATCAATAAATAATCAGTTATTTGCCAATCTGTACTTTGTAATCAGTACTTGTAATACAGTGGCATGCCAATCAGTATTTTGTAACACAATGATGTGGATAAATCATTATTTGGGTATCCATCCTATATCTGCTAACCAATAAATAATCAGTTATTATGTCTAATTAGTGGCATGCCAATCAGTACTTTGTAATAAAATGATGCAGATATACCATTCTTTGGGTATGCATCCTATATCTCTATGTTCAGTTGGGCTATTTATCTTTGGTGTGATTTTTCTGTTCCCCAAATTAAGGTACATTTTGACAAGGCTAGCCAAAACAGGAGGTGAGCCAAATAAACCCATATGAAATGTGTATTATACCATCCTGAAATTGAGTTTTTGATTGGGGTATCATTATTTTCTTCTCTTTTAGCTGGGGCAGTGCCACAGCAAAAGATAGTGAGCCAGTTTTCTTCTACCAAGAAGCTCTTCTTATGTCCCTTATTTAGTAAAGTATAACTCATAGGGCAATAATATACAGTATCCTTAGTCATACTAGAGTTAAGGTTGCCAGACTATTTTTGTGATGAACGAATAAAATTTTTATACTGTATTCAGTCTTGTCCTTGGAGGAGTGATACCCACCATGGTAGGCCAGAACCACTGGACTGGAGCATGAGGCCACATATACAGCAAGAATTTTTGTGTAATCTGTCAGCATAGTTTGGGAATCATTGCAAAAAGAGGTTTTCTTCATGGGCAACAGCTTGTGGTAGTAGTACCAGGACATAAGGACTAAGGATAAAAATAATTTTAGTGAGCGCTTATAAAAGAAAATCTTCTGTATCTCTTAACAATTTTTAGTATTAAACATTTATTTAGCTACAAGCCTGGTCCACAGTTTTGAGTTTTAGCTGTCTGTATCACATGCCATCTTTTTCTCAGCCTGGTGTCAAGTTAATTCAAAGTTGGAGGTCACCTTCTGGAGAAACAGTGAAATCAGAAGTCTCAACCTTCTTTAGATAATACATATGAATCCATGAATTTATGCCTTCTAACGTAGCAGTGCAAGGGTTGTTAAGGAGTACCTGATAATGTCCATACCACTTTGGTAAAAGAGAGGTGTTTTTTTTTTTAAATAAATATTGTTTCCAATAGACAAAATCTCCTAGTTGAAGTCCATGGTCCTTGGAAGTTTTGTTTTCTGGGAGTTCACAGTGAAAACGTTATTTTACTAATTTATAATTTGTATATAATTGTGTCATAAGGCCATTACAACAGCTAAACATGTCTCCGTTTGCTATTAAAGGCATAGTTTCCTGGAGACAATTTCACAGATCTGCCTTTTATCATTTTGAATGGGGATAACTGGTGCTTGCCAAAAATGTTCAACCCCAGACTAAGAAGAATCCATGGAAGAGCTTTTGGCCAAGGAATTTAAAAGCCTCATTTGATTTTTTGAACTGAGTTTTGATTATTCAGTTCATCAGTTCCACTAACCCAGATGACAGGGGATGGTAAACACAATGGAAATGTTGGAGAATGGGCCAAATTTTACACACCAATTGAATTATTTGTCTAGTGAAGTGAGTGCCACTGTTGCTATGAGTTTCCAGAACTCCCAAGGTTGGAATATTTTTTTGTAAGTGAATTTTACTCACCAACAAGCCTTTTGCTATTTTGTGTGAAAATGCCTCTACCCATTCTGAAAATGTGCAAATCATTACCAGAGCATATTTGCATGTTTTTCGAAGATGGTAACTGGGTGAAATCTAATTGCTGTGCCTGAAAAGGGGCCTTGGGTGAAGGAAAATGTCCTTGAGAGCTATGTAGTAATTTCCTTAGATTATATTTTTAACAAACGTAATAGCAATTTCATACCTTATGAGCTATAAGAAGTTTCCAAAAATATTGTTTTTCCCAAGCAATTGTTTTGTCAGGGCTCCAGTGAGTTAGGTCTTGTATATAGGTTAAAAATGGTAACCGCAATTCAGCAGCAAGTATAGGCAAATTGTTTGGCCCATACTATACCTTTTCTTTGCGGGAAGATATTTCCTTTTTGTTTTCCAACTTTTCTGTTCTAATATTGGAGCTCTGGATTGAGCTAATTTTATGTTAAATTCAGAGTTTTTTTAAAGTTAATATAGATCTCTTTTTATTTTCTGTTGGTTCGTTCGTTTGTTTGTTTGTTTAGATGCATTTAGAACAGCTTTGTGCTACTTTATCAGCTAGCTAATTTCCTTTGCTTTCTGGTGTATCTGATTTCAAATGGCCTGAGATTTTAATTATGGCCAGCGATTTTGGGAATAATATGTCTTCCAACAATTGTAAAATTGTCTGCTCATTTTCTATGAATTGACGAGAAGAGGCTAAAAATTCTCTCTGTTCCCATTGTATTCCATAATTATGAGCTACTTTGAAAGCATATCTACTGTTTGTATAGATATTAGCAGTTACTCTTTTTGACAATCAACAAGCCCTAATCAATAAAATTAATTCTGCTTTTGGAGCTGAGGTGGCTTCTGGAAGTTAAACACGTTCTGTTTTTTCAGTTAAAGATAATATTGAGTAGCTTGCACGGTAAGTCCCAGATACGTCCTTTAAGATCCATCTTTAAACCAAACTACATCAGCATAATTAAGGAGACTCTCTTCTCGTAGGACAGAGAAGTTGAAAAGTTAAGGTTATTCAATTGTGCAGTGTTTCATCTGAAAGTAAAGGCAGAAGAACTGCAGGACTTAGATTTTTATGCCTAGAGATGGTGATATGAGAAGCTGAAAAAAGTAAAACTTCATATAAAGCTAATCTGCTAACTGAATAACGTTGAGTGTGGTGAAGGTTAGCAATGATTTCACAAAATGAGGGATGAAAATACTATGGGATATCCCCTTTACAATTTCTTCAGTTGCCTTAACCAACAAAGCAGTGACTATTATGGCAGTGCCACAAGGTGGTAGCTCTATAGCCACCGGGTATAACTGATGGCTATAATACCCTAACAGGTTCATTTTGGTCTCAATGTATTTGAGTTAGGACCCTCAAAAGTGTTAGCACTACTTTCACGTATATATAATGAAAATGAAAAATTATAATTTGGATGCCCCAAAGCTGAGGTATTAGCAAGGTAATATTTTATCATTTCTAATGTTAGTTGATCTTTTGTCCAATCTAGAGGGTCTAGTATGTCTCGTTTTAAGACAGCATATAAGGGCTGGCATTTTAAGACATAGCTTGGGATTCATTTTTTAAAATATCCTGTCATTCCCCCAAACCCTCTCAACACTTTCTTGGTTCTTGGTGGTAGAAAAGCTAAGATCTCTTTTAGTCTGTCTGGATTAATAAAAATTCCTTCCTTGGATATTAGATAACCTAAGTAGTTTACTTGTTTTTTTGACAAAATTGAAGTTTACCTTTAGAAGCCTTGTGTCTCTTTAAGGCTAATTGTTGTAACAAGTGAATCTCATTTTCAATAGAGACTTGCTTATCCTCTTAGCAGAGGAGTAAATTATCTATCTATTGTATTAACATACATTTTTAAAGTCAATATCTGAGAGAGATCTTTTACTATCTGTAAAAAGTTTGGCTCTTAGTATAGTACTGAGGCTTGACTGTCCACATGTATTGTCTGTTTTCCAAAGTGAAAACAAAGAGAAATGAACTATTTTTATTCATAGAAATACTAAGGAATATATAACATAAGTCTATTATAGTAAAGAACTCACCTTCAGTTGGAATGGCAGCTGACAATGTATATGAATTTGGCATTTCTAGATGTTGGGGAATAACAATGTTTTTAATTGCTCTCAGATTCTGTACAATCATCCATCCTCTACCATCTGGTATCCTTAGAGAAAAGAGAATGCTTATACACTGTTGCTGGGAATGTGTATTAGTTCTGTCACTGAAGAAAGCAGTTTTGAGATTTCTCAAAGAAGGATTGGAGTGTTACATGGTCTTTACAGAGAATAGTCTGTCTTCTTTTTGTATAATTTGAAGGCTATTCCTATCAAACTACCAATGTCATTTCTTCACAGAATTGAAAAAAAAACTTCTCTAAATTTCATGTGGAATCAAAAAAAAAAAAAAAAAGAACCTGGATAGCTAAAGCAATCCTAAGCAAAAAGGACAAAGCTGGAGGCCTCACATTACTTAACTTCAAACTGTGCTATAAGTCTACAGTAACCAAAAGAGCATGGTACTGGTACAAAAACAGACACATAGGCCAGTGGATCATAATAAACAACCCAGAAATAAAGCTGTATGCCTACAGCCATTTGATCTTTGACAAAGTTGACAAAATAAGCAATGGATAAAGGACTCCAAATTCAATAGATGGTGCTAAGATAGCTGGCTAGCCATATGCAGAAGATCAAAACTGGACCTCTTCCTTACACATTATACAAAAATCAACTCAAGGTGGATTAAATACTTAAATATAAAACCTAAAACTATAAAAACCCTGGAATACAACCTAGTCAATACCATTCTACACATAGGAGTGGGCAAAGATTTCATGACAAAGAGGCCAAAAGCAATTGCAACAAATGGAAAAAAAAAATTAACCAATGGGATCTAATTAAACTAAAGAACTTCTGCACAGCAAAAGACCATACCAACAGAGTAAACAAACTATTGCATTTAACAAAGGTCTAATATTCAGAATCTATAAGGAATTTAAACAATTTAAAAAGCAAATAACAAATAATTCCATTTAAAATGGGCAAAGCATTAATAAGAATGAAACTGTGTCCTTGCAGCAGCATGGATGCCTGAGTGCAGCTGGAGGCTATTATTCTAAGTGAATTAATGTAGAAACAGAAAACCAAATACTACATGTTCTCACTTATAAGAGGGAGCTAAACACTGAGTACACATGGGCACTAAGAAGAGAACAATAGACTCCACAGCTTTCTTGGAGGTGGAGGGTGGGAGGAGGGTGAAGACTAAAAAATTACCTACTGGGTACTATGCTCACTACCTGGGTGTCAAAATCATTTTTACATCAAACCCCAGCAACACACAATTTACCCATGTCACAAACCTGCCCACGTACCCCCTAAACCTAAAAGTTTGAAGGAAAAAAATGGCAAAAAAACATGAACAGACATTTCTCAAAAGACATGTGAGTGTCTGATAAACATATGAAAAATGCTCTTTATCACTAATCATCAGAAAAATGCAAGTCAAAACCACAATGCAATATCATCTCACACCAGTCAGAATTGCTATTAGTAAAAAGTAAAAAAAAAAAAAAATAGCAGGTGCTGGAGAAGCTATGGAGAAAAGAGAATGCTTATACACTGTTGGTGGTAATGTAAATTAGTTTGGCCTCTGTAGAAAGCAGTGTGGAGATTTTTCAAAGAACTTAAAAAAACAAAACTACCATTCAACCCACAACTGCATTCCTGGGTATATACCTAAAGGAAAATAAATCATTCTGTAAAAAAGACACATTCACTCATATGCTTATTGCAGCACTATTTACAATAGCAAATACATGGAATCAACTTATGTTTCCATCAGTGGTAGATTCGCTGAAGAAAATGTGGTACATATACCATGGAATATGCCATAGAATACTATGCAACCATAAGACAGAATGAAATAATATCCTTTGCAGCAACATGGATGCAGCTGGAAGTGAATTAATGCAGGAACAAAAACCAAATATATCAAGTTCTCACTAATAAATGGGAGCTCAACATTGGGTACTCATGGACATAAAGATGGAAACAATAGACACTGGAGACCACTAGAGCGGGAAGGGAGAAAAAGAGAGGGGCATAGGTTCAAAAACTAACTATTGGATACTATTCTTACTATCTGGTGACAGGATCATTATTACCCCAAACCTCAGCCTCATGCAATATATTCACGTAACAAACCTGTACATGTATCCCCTGAATCTAAAAGAAAAGTTGGAATTAAAATAATAATAATAATAAAAAAATAAGGAAATTATAGGCTTGATCCCTTTTAGTGTTTAAGTTCTCAAATGATGTTGTTTAACATTTGAATGAGTTTTTGATGGATCTATTTGAACACTGATTGGGGTGGCAAAGATGATTCTTCCGATATCATTGGAAGACTTTGATCATAACTGATCAGGCACTACCTTTAGAAGGTTTTATAATCTTTCATTGCTCAATAATTGAGTGTCTTCTATGGCAACATGGAATGCAATTGAATTTTATTTTGAACTCTTCTTTATGTCTAGTAACACAGTTTTATATCTTTTTCTAAATTCAATTTTCCCTTTTTGGGAGAAAAGCATGTGGGTATTATATAATTCCTAGAAGTCTCTTTCTGTAAGATGGAGGGGGGCTAATATAACCAGAAGGCAAATGTGAGTCCTTTGACACCTAGTTGAAAAGTTAGTGGCTGAGACTTGTATGCTGATACAGGAGTATTTGTGACACATACCGTTTAAATTTTTTGTTTACTCTGAGCAATGGAATCTTGTCATAAGGTGGAATTTCTTACATATAGTGTGGATCCACATCAGCAAGAGCTTGTGCTCACAACAAGAGCTTGCGTTAGTTATCTATTTAAAATAATTTTTATTTTTCTCAAAGTGGAAACAGAGACATAAACTTAAGTATATAATTTAAATTTCTTGGCAAAACCAACAGGGTCCTGGTGAGAATCAGGTAGTTTATTAATTATTTCTTTAAGTTCTACCGTTGACTATGATTGATCTTCTAGGTCAGGTTCTACCCTACCTGATACACGCTGTTGAAGAAATGGAGCTAAAACATTAGGAGCAGGAGGAGGCATAGGAAGTAGATCTGGGCAGGTAGTTCAGATATTATCAGATTAAGAAAAGGAGAGGCTGAGAGTGGATAAGGAGAAATTTTCAAAGCCTTTTTAAACTCACGAATTGTTCTAGACAAGTTTTTGTTCCTCCTTTTGTAAAGAAATAACTTTATTAGAATGCTTTTTGGAAACTTCCAAATATCACTGAAAACAACTCTCCCAATTATTCTGTTTAATATGGAGCCAGCCTTTTTTGGATTGAGAATGCAAGTAAATTAGTTTAGGCATTTCAAAGGTATCCCAGTTTGGCCACCACAGTTTTGTTTTTTCCACAAGTTATGTGATACCATTTTTTAAAATAGCAACAGGAGGTGGCCCCATAAATGTTTCACATGATTCCAGCTGTAGTTTCTATATTTGAATCTCTCCTTAAGAGGAAAGACTTGGTTTTGGATAGACTGTTGATTATAATTTGGGTTCTCTTCTTAAGTGATTCAAGACTGTAAGGGAAATTTTGGCCACACAAAAATGAAGTTTAGACAGTCAATGGGGAAAGGATAATCTCTTCAGTAATTGGTGCATGTGTTCCCTTTGTGCCCTCGTCAAAAAGTAGTTGAATACATGTGGGCTCTCTCTTCTGTTCCACTGGTCTATGTGGCTGATTTCATCACAGTATGATGCTTTTTCTAAGGTTTGGTCATAACCAGCACCAAAAAACAGCAAGCTGCGCCATTCCCCCAGCTATTCTACTTCTTCACGCTGCTTAGCTGGGGTTTTGGGGACTTGAATTCCCTTGACAGTTTCTCTACAACTGTCTTTCTCCCATTTCTGTGCTGGCTCCATACTAAATGAACAGTGTATCCTTACCACAGCTAGATGTGCCTATTTTATGTAAATCTAAGTAATTCATTTCAAGATTAAGATATCATTATAAAGCAATTACAACTGGAGATTGTTAATGAATATCTTTCCCTTTATTTGTGTGTGTCTGTGTGTGTGAGAGAGACAGAGAGAAACAGAGATAGAAACAAGGTCTTACTCTGTTGCCCAGGCTGGAGTGCAGTGGCGTGATTCACAGTAGCCTCAAACTCCCAATATTAAGAGATTATCCCACCTCTGCCTCCTGAGTACATGGGACCACAGGCACACACCACTGCATCTGGCTATTTTTATTTTGGCATAAATAAGCTCTTATCATATTGTGCACCTGGTCTCAAATGATCCTCGAAAATAGTTTCTAAAGAAGTATTTCTACTTTAGTGCTTACCTGGACTTCATCTGGATTCATGTGACCTCCAGGGCTTCATTCAAATTGAAATGTGGAAATAATAAGATTTTTCTTGATTTTTTTTCCCCAGAAAAAGCTCAGGAGCCCTGGCCCTAGTCCAAGTGGGGCTTAGTCATCTTCTGGAATCTGCCCAAGCTGACTGTGAGCATTGACCATGCCATACCCTACCTAGCTCCCAAGGGACCTCTAGGACCTGGGTTGATCTTCCTGAAGCAGCCACTACATTTTCAACCCCTGGTGTTTCCTCTATGCTTGGAGGAAAGTCTGGAACAGGAGAAATTTACACAACTATATGACTATTGGCTATCTAGCTGGTCCCTTATGAGGGCTGAGTAATGAAGAAGACCCTGGGATGGAAGAGAAGCATGTTTGGAAAGAGAATAGTATCCTCTCTTGAATAATAAAAAAAAAAAACTGTATTTCTCTTCACCATACTTCCCCCTCTAATCTAGGCTAAATTTGAAAACAAACAAACACAAACACCTCTTCTGTGTTTTCTATCAGGAAGTTCTGGAATTCTGCAAAAAGGGCACCTGAGCAACCAACAAGTCAGCCCTTGTGCCCAATTGTGCCCCAAGCTGAATGAATTCACTTTTTGTGTAGAGGCCAAGACAGCTGTTGGGGAGGCTGGCTGTAAGGGGACAAATTCATGGGGTATGAATGCCAGGAAGAAAGAGGAATATCTTGCACACTAAAAGTTACTTCTGGCCCTCCTTCAAAATATTGATTCATATCTTGTATCTTTGTTTCTTGCAGCGTGACTTGGGAGCACCTTTCGTATGCCATCTACAGCAAAAGGACACTTGGGTGCAAGTGGGAATCTTGAGTCACTTTGAGGAGCATTGCACAAAGCCGTGTGTCTTCAGCCAAGTGCACCCTTTTCTTTCTGGCTCCTGGGAGTGCCATGGCCTAGCCATGCACCCTGGCACCACCAGGGGCCCATGACTACCTCTGCTTCCATGTCCCTTTCAGTCTCTGCTTCTAAAGATGCCTTGACTTTTATCTCCACTCCCACTTCCATTTGGCCACACTTCATCTCTCTGCCACAGCCTCAGAGTAAGGCTCAAAACCTTGGTAGGCAAAGCCAAAGAAGAAGGTAATTGAAATAGAAAAGAGTAGATGGAAGGAGAGAGGAGAGAAAGCTCTTCCTGAAAAATGCACAATATTTTATCTCCCAAATCATGGAAGTTATTTCCTTATGGCTTACAAAGGCATTTCATACTTGATATATTATTCAATTTCCATAGTATCCCTATAGATTATGATAGAGATCATTTAACATGATTATTATAGTTATCTTAAATGTGTATTCTGATACTAGATAAGTAGAATGGATTGATCGATTTCTCATGGCAAAAGATGAATAGGGCTAATATTAAGACACACTCTCCTAACACAAAGACATTTCTTTACTACCACACAGTAGCTTGCATTTGTAATAGAGTTATTTTAAATTAAGTATATTTTAAGTTAAAGATATTTTGATGTTTGGAAACAGTGTAATAGTTGGTAAGTAATGAGTTTTAGGTGCTGGTGTACTAGATTGGGTTACGTTGCTATTATCAGTTTCCCCCTTCCTTTGGCTATCAGAAAACCTATCACAATATTAGCAATGGCTATTTCACATTACTGTACTTCTACTTGTTTCCTTAGAAATTGAGGGATCTCTTTTGGTCTCATGAGTTAAATGTGCACTTAGCCACAGCTATTTTATAGCTACCACCTATCGCCATAGTTACAGTGAATAATACACTTAAAACATAAAAGAGGCCATAATTATTTGCTCACATCCTCCAAAGTCTAACTCAAAGACAACTACACTTAAGATCTTAGTTATGCTTCTAATTTCATCTATACTTCCTTACCCCTTCTACAGACAGGTTATCTTCAACATTTTTATCTCTCTCTATATATATATAAACGAGCATTGCTTCAACTCAGTTTTCTGAGGAACGCTAAAATAATTTTAAAAATATGAGCTCTTTCCTGAACCTCAATCTTGAATTTTCTATTTAAACTATTGGTTTGATATCTCACTAAAATTGTAAGTTTAGGAAGAAAAGCCCCCTCCATTTTAGAGACAGGTGCTTTATCTCCAAATTTTTCATTATTTATTAATACATTCAAATCATTACATTTTCTGTTGCCTATCTACTTCAGTGATTTCTGGGTAGCTACAATCATGGATATATAAATGTTGCAATGGGGGAGAAAGCTGGGATGACTCCCAATATTTTGATTAAAGAAATTTAAGCTATGACATAAAGAAACTATGAACTCAGAAAGATAGTAAGAGGAACACTTCTTTTCAAGAAAAATGCATGAACACAAAAGACGTAGAAGTTTGTCTTTGCTGGTCATATTTAACAATGCTAATTTGGTTAGCACAAATAGGAGGGATTTAAAACTTAAAAAAATGGGCCAGGTGCGGTGGCTCACACCTGTAATCCCAGAACTTTGGGAGGCTGAGGCGGGCGGATCCCGAGGTCAGGAGATCGAGACCATCCTGGCTAACATGGTGAAACCCCGTCTCTACTAAAAAATACAAAAAAAATTAGCCAGGCACAGTGATGGACATCTGTGATCCCAGCTACTCAGGAGGCTGAGGCAGGAGAATGGCAGGAACCCAGGAGGCGGAGTTTGCACTGAGCAGAGAGCACGCCACTGCACTCCAGGCTGGGAAACAGAGTGAGGCTCCGTCTCACAAAAAAAAAAAAAAAAAAAAGATCTACAGATGGCAATTCTATTCAAATTAGCACAATTAGCTTATTTTTCTCCTCAGCTTCAGCAGATCAGATTTCTCTGCAATATGCCATGCCTTGGCAGGCTGGGATCATCAGCTGTGGCAGTCAGGTCTACAGCGGGTCCATAGTTAGCAGCTCATGGGTTCTCATAGCTGCCCACTGTGTCAGGAACATGTAAGTTTGTGCCTGCCTCTTCCCATATCCTATGATTTATGATCCCATAAGTACATTGCTGAAGGTTTCTCTGTCCTAATTCACTTCTATAATACATGAGCATCTCACTTATATGGATAACATTTTTGTTTTAGGCTAAAAAGAAATTTTGTCACAGTGTTTGGCTTATTAGTACCTCTGTTAGTCAATTCCTCTGCAATCCCCTTGTCTATGAACTCTTTATCCATAGATTTCTGATTTCTCTGAAGATGAGCTAGGGACCTTATGTATCATAAATAAAGAAATATGCTAGAAAGCCTGATGTAGGTTTAAGGTTCAGGTTTTCTAATGAATGTATTGTAATAAATCTTTGCCTATGCACACAGGAGTCCTGAAGACACTGCTGTGATACTGGGCCTGAGGCATCCTGGGGCACAACTGAGAGTTGTGAAGGTGTCTACCATTCTGCTGCATGAGAGATTCTGGTTGGTGAGTGGAGCAGCAAGAAATATCCTGGCATTGCTACTCCTCCAAGATGTCCAGACTCCCATTCGGCTCTCAGCACTCCGGCTGTCTGAAGAATCTGAATAGTCCAGAAGGCTGGCTCTCTGGGGCACAAATTATTACACCAGGTCAGTGTTACTTTTTCTCACTGGGGTAGCAGTTGTAAAAAATAAATGAGATTTGTATTTTTAATATTATGTTTCAAGGAGTAACTGTAATCACAATTGTATACATTACTAATAATAAGATGTTTAATCCACACAAGAGACCCACTAGGAAATGTGTTTTTGTTTTATAAGATGATGGTTCTGATGATAACTTCACAAGATTTTAGATCTGAAAACATTTATATGAGGATCTTTCTCTGTACAGTCAATTTTATAAACCAAAGTAGACATGATTGGTTTTCCAACTCTTTGCTAACTTCAAAACAAAGGAAAAAGAAGGTTTTTTGATTTGTTTTCTTTTTACCTCTTTATGAAAATGAAGCTGAACTTGACTTGGCATTTGGAATTTCTTAAGTAAAATTTACTTGTTACTTTTGAAGAGTGGCATTTAAAAAGTGATTAAAGAATGACAATGTTGTCCACAGTGGCTCAATCCTATATTTCCAGCACTTTGGGAGCTTCAACCAGGAGAATGTTTTAGGCCCAGGAATTTGATACCCAGTTGGGCAATAGAGCAAGACTTCATCACTAAACAACAACAACAACAAATAGCTTGATGTGGTGTTGCACACATGTAGTCCCAGCTACCTGGGAGGCTGAGAGAGGAAGATAGCTTGAGCCCAGGAGGTTGAGGCTGCAGTGTGTGAAGATGGTGCCAATGCACTCCAGCCTGGGTGACCAAGCAAGAACTTGTCCAAAAAAAGGTTTGGGAGCTGGCATGGTGGCTCATGCCTGTAATCCCAGCACTTTGGGAGGCTGAGGCCAGTAAATCACCTGAAGTCAGGAGTTTAAGACCAGTCTGACCAACATGGGGAAAACCCATCTCTACTAAAAATACAAAATTAGCCAGGAGGGGTGGTGTGTGCCTGTAATCCCAGCTACTCAGGAGGCTGAGGCAGGAGAATTGCTTGAACCCAAGAGGCTGAAGTTGCAGTGAGCTGTGAGCAGGCCACTGCATTCCAGACTGAGTGACAAAGTGGAACTGCATCTCAAGAAAAATAAAGGTCAATAGAAAGATAATAAAATATATAAATGTGTGATGTAAAATTTAATGGTGATAAAATACACTGAATTTCTCTGTGTAAGTTACACATACAAATGTAATGACGAGACAGTGATAAGACAAATCAAGGTTTTATCTCAATACTTAGTGTCTACATGTAACATATGTTCTTTAGGATAGTTATAGTCCATTTTCTTTCCAGGAGAGACTGATGAGAATGCAGAAATGTTAAAGCACAAGTGATGGAAGCTTCCAGCTGTGCCCACCTGTAACCTGACATAGACAGTTCCATTGTTTGCTTCATTACTCAGGTCAAAGACATTAATGCAAATGTGGTACACAGTCAAATTCTTTTCTATCTACATGATAGAAACTATAACTTTGTCCCTGTATAGAAGGGTATACAGCATATGCCTAAATGATAAATATAAGTGAATCATTGATCAGTAGGAAACCATTTTAAAAGTCTTTAATTACAGAACAAAATCTCTGAAAAATTTTATTGTCAATCTGAGTTTTCTTACATGAGTTATTAATCTCTAGCCATACTAAAGAGATAGTATGCTGTTCTTCAAACAAATTAGACATTGTATATAAAACGACTCCAACATTTTTCTATTTCTCCAAGTAAAATAACTTGTTTAAGGTATGCTCTTCAGTGATTTTTTTGTAGTAACACTTTTGAAGGTATTTTACCAGGAAGATTTACTTATGTACTTATCTGATGTCTGCCTTTCTTCTGAATACATATTTTATCACCCACTTATTAATTCTAAGTTTAAGAAGTTGGAATAGGGATTTAAATCCAAATTCTACGTTTGAATTTACAGGAGTCAGTGAGTCCAGAAAATGTCATTATGCGCAGACCAATATCTGGCAATGGCACTAGGGGACAAATATGCTTTACCAGTCTCAAAGCCCTAGCTACTACAGTGAGTCCACACTTCTCCTGTATCTTATCTGCTTCAGCAAAAGAAGGCCACCCACTAAATCAGGCCGTTGTGGCTTGGGTGGAAACTCCTAAGTCCTCTACTCTCCTTAAAGAGCCAACCACACTGCCACTTTCCTCAATAATAATTACTGCAGCTCTGAGACTTTGGTAGCCTAGTGACTATAACTATTGATGCTACAGTCTGGTCACAGTATGATAAAACACCAAAACAACAAAAACAAAAATATTGACTTAAGCCTTCTAAGATCTCTCTAAATATACCTTCATTAAATATGATCTTTTTCTACATAACAACTGCTTTCTACTTCCTGAACTAATGCATGGCCTTGGATTGCTTTCATTCTTGAAATTGATTCAAAAGTGTATATTTAACATGAAGGTGAATACAGAATTTCATGTGTCAGCAAATAAAATTTTCAAAATGATGCAAAATACAAATGTGAAATTTATTTGTGAATTTGATTATTCTTTCAGATTATATTTTCATACTTACCCCCTCGCACAATTTTTTATAACTATCTGCATGTTCTCCTCAGGTTGGGGAAAAACAGTATTGGAGTTCTTGAATAATTTATGAAAGACAGAATGACAATACTATACAAGGTTAACCTATACACAATACTGTATTTGGTGAGCGAAAATATTACATATAAAATCCTACAAAAGTATTAAGTAAATATAATACATTATTTCAATAATTATAAAATACATGTACATGAAGAAAATATAATAATGATTAAAATACATTAACAAACAAATGAGGCTGGGCGTGGTGGCTCACACCTGGAAGCCCAGCATTTTGGGAGGCCAGTGCAGGCAGATCACAGCAGTATGAGACCAGTCTGGCAAATACGGTGAAACCAGTCTCTACTAAAAATAGAAAAATTAGCAGGACATGTGCCTGTAATCCCAGCTCCTCAGAAGGCTAAGGCAGGGGAATCGTTTGAAGCTGGGAGGCAGATGTTGCAGTGAGACGAGATTTTGCCACTTAACTTCAGCCTGGATGACAGATCGAGACTTCATCTGAAAACAAACAAACACACACACCCCCCCAAAAACTAATGAATTTAAAAAAAAAATCTATGCTAGAAAAAGTGCTCAGAGGCAAACTCACATATCTAACTGAAAAAGAAAATCCTTGAAAACAAAAGTTCCAGAAGAGGCAAATAAGAAAACACAATTAACACCTTGCATATAAAGTACAAATAGTAAAGTGAAAAGAACCACAGGGGAAAAAAATTCAAAATTTACGACTAAGTACTCTAAAAGAAGCTGAAAGTCCCTCAAAAACTTTCCAGAGTCCATGTCCCTGTATTGCAAAAATGATCATAACAATTGCCAGGAGTAGAACAATAAAAATATATCTTAAAACTTGATAAACACTTCAAGTCTCTCATAATATTTATAATGGAAAATGGATCCTTCTGCAGTTTTTCCATACAATTATGAAGAAATTATTTTTCTTTGCACTTAAATTTGTTTTTTCAATATTCTAAGAAATTAACTTTTATATTAATAGTAGGTGATGTAACAAAGCAGGTCTTTATCAAGATAACTGACACTGGATGTCCATACCATTACTCAGGTGGGCCTTAATTCCCAGCCAGGTTCCCTCCCTGGACACATACTGAAGGTCCCCAGCCATTTTGCAATCTCTTCACATTTCCAGTCCTGGAGGAAGCTCTAAAATACATGTACATGGAGATAATAGAACATTTCATCACACTGGAACCCAGTGCATTCCTCCAGATTCCCTGTGAAGTGGACTGTCTTATATGGGAAGGCAGGGCAGTTGGAGTGAGGATAGCAGAGAGGATAACATATCAGGGCAGCCCGGGGTCATCAAAACAGAACATGACAGACCTGGGAGAAACATTCTGAAGGAATGTAGACTTAGATGGGCCTCAGGTGGATATCTGTGTAGAGAGGGAGAGGGTCCTGGATGAGCTCAAACTGAGTCTCAGGTGGTAGGAGGTCTCAGGGCAAGGGAGGGAGCTGGCAAGTGATGATGAGACAGCTATCCCTTAAGCTCTGCTTCTCACCCACTGATCTTAGTCACATATGCATTGTAGTGGCTTAAGGTTCCCCAATCCTGAAATGTGGGTGTTGCAGTTCACCGATGGGCCTTTCTCCCCCAACCAATGGATGGCCTGGGATTGCTCATTGCAGTTTCCTGCATGATCCTTGGGTTCTCCCTGTGGGGCACAGATCCAGGACTGAAAGACCTCTCAGTTCCCAGCCCTAGGCTGTTCCCTGGCCTCTGTTCCCTCTAAAATGCTGTCCCTCCCACCATGGAATAGAACTGCAATGGATTGAGCCATAGGCCCTGGCTGATGATCTAGGGGACTGCAGAAGTGGGTCCAGGACAGTTCATGTCACAGTTTAATGCCAATTCCCCAGAGACCAAGGAATGCCCAGCGAGGTCCTTTCCCATGATGCCCCATGGTGAACCTCACCTCAGCAATCCTACCAAAACCCGGGCAGTCATGTTCAGCCAAACAGGTGAAAAAGCTCAGGTAGGAGGTGTACTGCCTGCAGCTGGAGGCTTGACCTTCATGATCCCAGAACAACTGGACTGCAGTGGAATGAGATACCCTGTACCCTGGAGGGAGAGGAGTCAGGAAGGTTCATCCTAGACCTACCCTCCCACATACCGGCTCCCCTACCATGCTAGGAGGCACTCCTTACCGAGGATGCCAATGCAGTACTACTTACTGATCACTTCATTGTGGAAATAAAGGCTGTGACAAAAGGAAATCTTCATCTTGCTGCCGGTAACAGGGATGCCTGAGTTCCTCCACCTGCCTAACCAAGAAGGAGAAAGAGTATGGATTCAATGGGACCATTTCATCTAGCTGGGCTGAGGTGGCCTGCTAGCTGGAGTGAAGCATGAATTTCCCATTCCCAGCTTTGCAACTGAGACAACCCTGGACCCCAGGGGGACCTCAAACTGACTCAGACACTGGACCCCTCCCACAGACCCAGGCTCCCCAGCCTGACCTGCAAATCCATCACTTCATCATGGTTTCCAACCCAGGTCAACATCTGGTGTGCCAAACAATCTACATCTGGTCAAGGAGTCTCCAGATGATTCAGTGGGCAAGCCTCCTGACGCCTGCAATTCTGCAAGAGCACAGAGAATGTGGAGCAGGGATATCTCCCAGACATTTGGCCTGTCACGCTCCGATGTTGATCCTCTGTTTCTGTCTGGTGAGGAGGCAATGCCACAACTGTGGTGGTTTTTGGGGTGGCTGGACCCCGGCCAAGACGGCCTGGGCTGACCAGAGACGGGAGGCAGAAAAAGTGGGCAGGTGGTTGCAGCTGAGGGGCAGGGGCGGGGGCAGGGTGGTGTGAGGCGGCTGCTTCTCTGGGTTCATGAGCTGCAGGAGGCCTTTGCTTGCTGGGTGCTGGACATGCTCTGCTGATGTCCGGGTGTGTGGTGTCTTCTTATCCTAGTCTCCCTGAGGGGTGGACCTGTCTGCCTGAGGAAGCCCTGTAGTTAGAAGGGGCTGCAGGGTAGTTCCTGGCGCTCCCCATGGGGACTGGGTGGGTGCAAAGGAGGTTATATACGCTCAGGGGCTATAACCCTTTGGGTGCAGCGCCGGCAGGCAGAAGAAAGCATATCTGGGGAGCTAGTACCTGCCTTGTGGAGGTCGGCAGCCCCATGTACCGCTAACCCGAGTCTTAAGCACCTTGTGTTTCTGGGGCGAGCCTTCTGGAAACGGGCACTGAGAGCGGGGGTGATTCAATGGCTGGCAATGTCATGCAGACTCCCCTTCCTCCAGGACATTCCCAGGGAAACATGCCCTTTGACATTGTGCTGTGCGTGAAGGGACTCTGGCGCCGCGATTCTCCCTTGTGAGTGCTGTGCTCGGCTCCCCTTCCCTACCACGTGCTCCCAGTGCTCCCAGTGCTGCTACAAGCAAGCTGCCCTCACAGCTGCAGGAACGTGACCTCGGCTCCCATCCTGTCCCCCATCCCCTGCCTCCTGGCTCACCCCATGTGCCTCCTCCTGGCTCCTCCCCCAACAGCCCCCATGCCCCCACGAAGCCCGATGCCCATCCCCTGCTGCCAGCCATCTGGAATCGGCAGCTGCAAGGATATGGCTCTGTCCCAGAAGCCCAGGCCACAGGGGCATTCACGGAGTCTACCTCCAAGTGAAGGACCTCCAGCGAGTCCATTGATGGCCTGGGTGTGCTGGGTCCAGGGCCAAGCTGTGCCCGCTGGCCCTCCTTCTGCCACCCCACGTCAGTCTCCTCCTCAACCACCACCTCCACCTCAGCCATTATGTCTTCCACCTTCAGCACCGCCTCCTCTTCCAAGGCTGCCTCCTTGCTCTGTACCCCGGCCGTCCTCTCCAGCAGAGCCTCCAGCCTGAACACGGTGCCCTCCTGGGTGCTCCCACAGACCCTGGCCTGCACAGCCCAGCACATCCCCGGTATCCCTATGCTCTGGGGGCTGCTCCCCAAGAGGCCCGCTCCGTGAAAGACCCACGGGCCTCTCCCTGCTGAAAACCTAGTCCCACACCTACATGGACCCAGGTTTCCTGAGGAGCCCCGCTGGGCCCGCAGATGGCCGCACTCGCCGTGGGGCTCAGGACCACAGCAGGGTCAACTGCGCATAGGAGCTCAGAAGCCAGAGGCCGAGGCCCTGTGCTTCCAGAGCCCCACCAGCAGGCACCGCAGCGGCTGCTGCGGGTGCGGGAGCCTCTGGGTCGTCAAGGCAGTGCACAACAGCGTGCGCGCAGGCCGACAATGGCCAACCCTGGCGGCTGGCCTCTGGTGTGCCCAGGGCACAGGACTAGAGGCCCTTTGGAATGCTCCTTGGAGTACAGCATCCTCAGGGAGGAAGCATGGTACTCGGAGCCTGTATTTGCCTCGACCTGCGAGAGTACATGCCAGGGTTCTAGCCTACAGTGCAGACGAATTCCACCTCTGCACAAGCAGGTGACTTTCCTCCCACATACCCGCCCCGACTCACTTCTGCTAGGCCACCCCCGCCGCCCTCGCCCCAGCAACCAGAGAAAGTTCTCCTCTGGATCTGCAATATTCCTTATGTACCATCTACCTGGCCTGCCTAATGAAGAGAGATGTTTCCTGTGTTCATGACACATAGAGATGTTCATGGCTTGCCACACTGAGGATGTCAGGGCACAGGGCTGCCATGCCCACAATTCCAAAGGCCACGCAGCCCGCGTGTGCCCGGACGCCTAGCTACCCGGCACAAGTTCCAAGGGCTTCTCGGAGGAGGCTTGGGCAGGGAAGGCGGGGGGTGGGGGGGCTGGAGATGCAGGCCCGCCAGTGGCTGTGCCGCCCAGGGAGACGCCCACCGCCCTTCCATTGATTGGCCACGACGGGAGGAAGTCGGCCTGGGTGCGGCCCCCCGGCTCTTCGCGCGCAGTCCCTTAGGGGGCGCCTGGAAGCCCGGCGCATGCGCCCTGAGGGCTCGCTGACCTACCGGGTGCCAGAGAGGCTGCGGCAGGGTTCCTGTGGCGTGGGTCGGGCAGCACAGGCCTTGGTGTGTGCGAGTGCCAAGGAGGGCACCGCCTTCAGGATGGAGGCTGTGCAGGAGGGGGCGGCCGGGGTGGAGAGTGAGCAGGCGGCTTTGGGGGAGGAGGCGGTGCTGCTGTTGGATGACATAATGGCGGAGGTGGAGGTGGTGGCGGAGGAGGAGGGCCTCGTGGAGCGGCGGGAGGAGGCCCAGCGGGCACAGCAGGCTGTGCCTGGCCCTGGGCCCATGACCCCAGAGTCTGCACTGGAGGAGCTGCTGGCCGTTCAGGTGGAGCTGGAGCCGGTTAATGCCCAAGCCAGGAAGGCCTTTTCTCGGCAGCGGGAAAAGATGGAGCGGAGGCGCAAGCCCCACCTAGACCGCAGAGGCGCCGTCATCCAGAGCGTCCCTGGCTTCTGGGCCAATGTTGTATCCTTCTCAGTGTTTCTTCGGCCTTTCTAGTGGAGAGGTGCTCTCGGGGAAGTGTAAGTGACCGATGGGCAGCTCGGCGTCGATGTGACTCTTTGGGGAACAAAGGGGAGTTGCCACGGACCAATGTGGCTGTGGAAAGGCGGAGAAGGCGTGGGTACTATTGTCCTGCATGCGGCAGAGAAACCCTTGGTGATGCCGAGCAGCAGACGTTTGGGGCATCTTTTTGAAGAGCAGAAGCGAGTTCAGAGCGGAAGAGGTTTTTCAGTGAATGAAGCTATTTTTAAGGGAGTGTGATTGCTGCCCCTTGCTAGTCCGATCTGGGACTGGGCGTCTTCGGCTATAAGCAGATTCTGCCACTCCTCAGACACCAGCAAGTCTCTGCAAATCGCGCCTCCCCATGTCAGTGCAGTCAGCCTCAGAATCATACACCCTCTGTGAACACAGGAGGCCTTAGTTTACGGGGACGGGGAGGCGAAAGGAGATCATACATGGAAGCAGATCTGAGAAATCCCCTACCCCAGCCTCTGGGTGCTCTTAGGCCTTCTTCCCTGTTGCTCCTCGCTTTCCCTTCCATTAAAGTCTCTTTGACCTAAATCAGATTGCAAACCACCCCCAGATGTCAGCCCTGATCACTGACGAAGATGAAGACATGCTGAGCTACATGGTCAGCCTGGAGGTGAGGCCAGGAAGACTGGGGCTGGAGGGTTTAGCGGGGGAGGGTAAGGGAAATAATTCATTCCTGTAAGCAAGAGTGAGCACCTCACCCGAAAACCTATCTAAGCTTTCTCCACCTTGTCCTGACAGGTGGAAGAAGAGAAGCATCGTGTTCATCTCTGCAAGATCATGTTGTTCTTTCGGAGTAACCCCTACTTCCAGAATAAAGTGATTACCAAGGAATATCTGGTGAACATCACAGGTGACAGGTGGCTCCCAGGATGGGTAGTGGAAGGAAGATGGTGGGTGGATCATTGCCAACGGGATCCAGCCCCCTTCCCACAAAAACTCCTGTCTCTGTAGAATACAGGGCTTCTCATTCCACTCCAATTGAGTGGTATCCGGATTATGAAGTGGAGGCCTATCGCCGCAGACACCACAACAGCAGCCTTAACTTCTTCAACTGGTTCTCTGACCACAACTTCGCAGGATCTAACAAGATTGCTGAGGTGAGTCCTCACTGGGAAACATGAGGAATGACCCCGTGTGTTCCCAGCTGCTTGGGTCACCTTTCTGAGCCCTGATGAGGCCTTTCCCGATTGAGTCCCCTGACAGATCCTATGTAAGGACCTGTGGCGCAATCCCCTGCAATACTACAAGAGGATGAAGCCACCTGAAGAGGGAACAGAGACGTCAGGTGAGCCGTTAGTTGGCACTGGAGCTGTTTGATGCCCAGTATAAGGGGGTTGACACACCTGCCTATTCAGGGAGCCTGGGTGCTCATTTCAGAAATGTAGAAATTGAGGCTCCTTTCGTACATGTAGAAATTCCTTGAGAGGAAGACAGAGAGTGACAGAATCCAGGACGTTCATGGCATTGGGCTGAAAAGGCACGTTAGAGACTGCACTGCAAAGCGGGTGATAGCTGTGGAGTCTTAAGCCCAGTGAAGAATCGTCCATTTCCAGAATCAATGAGAAGTAAAGCTGAAAATCATTCAGTTCAGTCTGTGGCACTTGATTCCACGGCTGTCAACCCCACCGGCAGTCATCCCACCAACCCCATGAGATTGGGCTCCCTGAATGTGCGTCCTGGTCATCCTTGCCCCAAACCACAAAGGACTGTTTAGATTGATGGATTTCCTTAAGCTGTTGCCCCATCAGACTTGTGTGTGCTTTTAGGGCCCAGTGCATCTTGTTAGCTGACTCCCCTCACAGACAATACTGGGAATGGGGCAGGGATTGCGCAGAACAGTTTGTAACACGTGGTAGGAGGAAGTTTAAGGGATCACAAATGGGGAAGGGATATCCTTTTCTCAGCGGGCCCCACAATTGAAACATTTCAAAGTATGGCTCAGAGAAAATGCGTTTTAACATGAGTTTGTGTTTCTCTAGGGGACTCCCAGTTGTTGAGTTGAATATGATGGAGCATCAGATTTTACCTAATACAGCAGAACTCCTAAAAAGTTACAGCCATATGCAGGACAGCAGTACTCAGCATGGTCTTATGCACAGGAACTAAAGGAAAAAGAGATCGAGTCACAAAAATTCAGGAAGAGGGGGTAAATGTGGATTGTATGGAATGAAAAATAAACATTCTCAAGGATGTGTGACTCTGTGTCTGTGTGTGTGTGTGTGTCTTTGTGTTTGTGTGTGTGTGTGTGTGTGTGTGTATGTTTATCCACTTTATTCGGGTGTCATAATGAATTGATCAATCCACGTGCTTTATTCTCTTCATGGAAATAACCAGTCTGCGTTGGAGCTGGGCCTCTAAAGTTGTAGAGTGAATGGGTGTGGGATGTGTTGGGATTCTTCCTACAGGACAGAGTGGGAGAGGTAAAAGCAAAAGACAGCTTAGTTGGAGGCTGACTTCGTCCTATGGAAGCAGAGATAGTTCAAGGAATGGGGTTACTGGGTTTCCAGGGCCCAGTTTGCTGGGACCTCCAAAATCCTTCATTTTGGGTATCATCATACACAGTAGCTAAGCACAGGATGATGGAAATCTTAAAGTTCGCTTTCGTGTTGAATCCACATGTTCTTTTAAAGGTGAATGCATGATCCTTTTCTGGGACAATCAGCCTCTCAGGACTTCTAAAACATCAACGTGAGAAGAAATGGGCATGTAAGGTGTATGGAGGGACTGTGGGAAAGGTGACAGAGGCATGTGGGAAGGCATTCAGGATACGCTTTTGGCATAGATGACTAAGGGAAAACAGAAACTTACAGAAGTGAGGGGAAAGGGGGTGGATTAGTGGAATATAAGATTGTTGGAGAATCCATCCATGGACTCTCTTGTCACTTGATGACCCAGGATATGGACACTCTTGTTGATGTTTACATCTTTAGTTGTTTTAAGCTTTTCTCCAAGATTCTGTGTTAGGTGAGGAGCCAATAACGTATGTAGCTAACAACAGTACGAGTGCATTTTGTGCTCTTGCAAAGTCTAGTGAGGCTCTGTTCTCCCTCGTGATTGGCACTGCAGATTGTATCTGGAGCCCAGGGCCCCTAAATTTTCTGTGGCCTCTTCAGCATAGTTTGCCTAAGGTTTAGAACGTAAAGCGAATATAGTTGCGGAATATGTTTTGCAAGCCTCACACAGGAGGACAAAACATACAGCTTTCATTCGCGAGTGGGAGGCTGCTTCCCAGGAACACGTGTGTCTGCACAAGACAAGGGGTTGCCTCTGTCAAGGATGGGGCAGGAGGATTTCAGTGTCGGAGGCAGAACTTTCTTTCCTGTTCCCAGATGAAACAGTTCCAACACGAGCATCCATGTTGACCACACGCTACTAGAGTGCTAACATTGCTGTCCCGTATAGACTCTGGTCAGCACAGCTTCTGTGAGAAGAGCTATGTTGTTTCAGGGAAGAGGGTTTGACAGTCAAAGTTCCTGAATCTGTTGTGGTGCCTGCAATATGCATTCTACCCCTCCTGCTCGGTGTCAAAGCAGTTGAGCTTTGAAAATCTATCGCCCGGTTTTGTCCCTGCTCCTATGCAGACCTCTGAAGCTCTGGAGCGGGAGTCTTGTCCTCCTCTGACTACCGTCCCCCTGACCCACAAACACAGGAGAAACAGGTGTTCTAAGCAAATTATTCTGAAAACAGTCGGAACCCTTTGGCCCCCTCAAGCTGCCCTCTATCCTACTGTGTGCATGTCAAAGACACTGTGGTCCAGTACGGTATCCCTATAGCGGCAATGGGGCAACAGATTGGTGTGTGCACTCTGGGCAACTCAGATTAGGAAACGTCTGGGGACTTGCCTATAACGAGGTCGTCTTAAAACGTGTTGCCCCAAATTTAAGGCATAGGAAAATGTTGAGGAAAGGGTCTTGCAATGATTTTTCTAGGAGGTAAATAGATAAGAAAATGACCGTAAATAGATGCCAGGGCTAGTTTTGGAGCTAGCCTGTTTTAAAGTGGTGGTAGGGGAGGAGCTTTTTCCAAGGCAGGTAGCAAACCAGGAACTGTCTACGATGGATGGGTGTGCCACGGGTTGGTGGCTCAGCCATATTGCCACCCCACCGAGTGAATGCAGCAGACTGGGCTTCTTCCTTGAATCCTACGTGCAATTCAGTCTAGTGATTTCACATGAGATCCCTTCTTCTGGTATTATCACAGATCGTGCTGAATTATACAGGCTGTGTAATGCTTCTTCCACTGAATATCCGTGCACGTGGGCCACAGATGCTAAGGGCACTGACAAATTTGCACCGTGCCTCAGTAACTCGGAAGCACATCTGTGATTTGTACCGACAGGGACTTGGTGTCTTTTCGTGTTTAAAGTAGCACGTGTGTGTTTGTGGTTGCGTATGTTTATTTCTCTGTGCGGGTTTGTATATTTTCTCTGACTCCACCTATGTCTCCGTGGTTCCGATATTTTTCCACACTCCCTGCGGCAATTTGCACATGCCTATCTCTACAACCATTGTAGACTTTGTATCTGTGTCTTTGAACATCTGTCACTCTCTCTCCCTTCCTTTTTTCCTTTCCTTCCTTTACACCCCTCCTTTCATCCTTCCCTTGCTTCCCCACCACACTCTCTCCATCTGTATCGTCTATCTTTCTATTCTCTATCTGGGTTTACTTTCTAATTCTGAATTCAAGGGCATTGAATTGAAAAGAAGCACTCTTCGTACTTTTATGTGTTTTAACTCATTTGGGGAATTTGGCTTGTTATTATTTACAGGGTTCTCTCTGCCCTTTCTCATTGTTCTCCCCAGCCGGGGCTGTTATTATGTGAAAGCTGGTTTCCTTCATCACATCGCGTAGGCTCTAATGATGTTTCGTTTATTTTGATTCTCCTCACACTACATAGTTTTAATTTACCTAATGTGACTGTTTTCTTGTTTGTTTTCCGAGAATGGGTCTTACTCTGTCTTCTAGGTTGGACAGCAGCCCCACGATCTCAGCCCACTGCAGCCCAGGCACCACACACCCATGTGATCCTGTCAACTCAGACTCTCACACACCTGGCAGTACAGGTGCATGCCACCCCTCCAAGCTATGTATTAATTAACTAAATACTTACTTTTTGAATGTGGGTCCATGTTGCCCCAGGCTCATCTGGAACTCCTGAGTGCAGGCAATCCTCCCACCTCAGCTTATCAAAGTGCTGGGATGACAGGTGTGACCCATGGCCCTGCCATGGCTTTGTGTTTTTTGCTTTTTTCTTCCTCCTCCTCACGTCTTGTTTTGAAACATGCACTGAAGGTTTCAATTCATGGACTATAGTCTCTGTGCCTGGAATTTCTATCTTTCAACTCATCATCAGCATTCATTGGGATTTTCATATATATATATATATATATATATATATACCTATATAAAAATACATATATGCACACATATATACGTATATACATGTATATAAGTATATATGCACATTTATATACATATATACATGTATATACGCACATTTATATACATATATACATGTATATACGTATATATATACATGTACACATATGTATTTATTTCTCAAGTTACGAAATGGCTTGCATTCTTTCCTGTGTCATGAAAAAGACTTTGCTAGAAAAGAAAAGCACTGCTTTATAGTAAAATATTGTATTTGCATTTATTTTGTTAAGGCATTTTAAAAACTGTATGTTTGTTTAAAAAACGTCATATGAAATGATACATATTTACAACTTAAGGCGTGATGTTCAACAGGTCATATACATTATGCATTGGATACATCCAGCCAATCAACATATGTGTGACCTCACATAGTTGTCATTTTTGTTGTGAAAAAACTTGACCTGCACTGTATTCGAATATTTTTAGAGAAAGAATATGTTACCACTAGTTATAGTGAGCATGCTGAAGAAAATATTTTTAACCTATTCCTCCTTTATAACTAGAAGTATGAGTTCTTCATCCAGCATCTCGTCAGTGCACCCTCTTCACCGCAGTCATTGGAGTCACTACTTCTGTGAAGTCCGCTTTTTTGATTTCATATAAGAATGAGATCATGTGCTATTTTCCTTTCTGATACCTGGCTTATGTCACTTAACAGAATGGCATGCACACATTCAGCAGATTCCCACACATTCTCACAACTGGCAGGATTTCCTGATTTCTTACTGCAGCGCATATTTCCGTTGCGCATATGCGTTTTTGCCCCATTTTTTAATCCACTTATCAATGGAGGGACACTCAGGTTGCTTCCGTATTTTGGCTACAGCAAAAATGTAATGAGTGCAGCAATAATTGCATGGGTGCGCGCACCGCTTCGACATACTGATCTGTGTACTGGCGGGCGTGCCCGGGTATTCTGATTTGCTGGATCATATAGTGGGTGGTTCTACTTGTAGATTTCTGAAGACTGTTTATACTTAAATAAGAGCCATAAAGCTTCTTTAATGCCAGCACTAATTTACATTCTCCCCAAAAGTGAGCAGGGAATTCGTTTTCTCTGCCTCCTCACCAGAGATTAGGGTTTTCTTTTCTTTCTTTTTTTTTTTTTGTTTGTTTGTCTTTCGGATAATATGCATTCTGACTGAAGTGAGAAGAAATCTCATTGTGTTTTTGATTTGCATTTTCGTGATGGATTGGGGATAATGAGGAATTTTTAGTGTGTCTTCTGGGCAACTGTAAGTCTCAGTTTCACAAATGAGTCTTCGCAGCCTTCGCCCATTTGTTTTCATGCTATTGAGTTGTTGGGAGTTCCTTATGTACTGTGACTATTCCCCCATGAACAGATGTATGGTGATCCAATCATTGCTCCCATCCTGTAGGATGCCCCTTCTGTATGTTGAGTTTTCTATGGTGTGGTGAAGCACTTTAGTTTGATATGATTCCATTCTCTATTTTTGATGGTGTTTACTGTGTTCTTGCAGTCACTTTGAGACCATCATTGCACACACGGACGCCATGGAGCTTCTTCCTTGTGATCTCTTCTGCTATTTTTATCGTTTCACATCTGACACTGGAGTTTGGTGATAAATAATCCACTTGTAAAATCCTTTGTGTGGCTATTCAGATTTCCCCAACCTAGTTTATAGAAGATACTTGATTTTGCATTGGGCGTTCTTGCTTCTTTGGGAAAAGGCTGTGAGCTGCAAATGCAGTGACTTAGTTCTGGGCTCCTGTTGTTTTTCCTAAGCTCTAGTCTCTGCTTTTCTGCCAGTGCTATTGTATTTTGGTACAAAAAGTTTTGTAGTAGTATATCATGAAGTTAGGTAGTGTGGTGGCTCCAGCTTTGTGCTTTTTACTGGATTGCTCTGGGTTTTCAGGATCTTCTGCCATTTCATAGCAAATTTGGGATTCCCAGATTGTTTTTCTAAGAAGAATGTGTCATTGATATTTTTACAGGGGTTGTATAGAATCTGAGGATGACTCAGGTAGTAGTGATGTCAATGCCGTTTAGACAATGTGCGTGTTTGTGTGCACATGCTCAGGGCCAAGAGACACTGGGTGTCCTCACCAATACTGAGGTGGGCCTTAATATCCAGCCAGATTGCCTTCTGGAAACACACGGAATGTCCTGTTCTGTTTTGCCATCTCTTCACATTTCCTCCCCTGTGAGCCCTGTGTGGTCCTCCAGATTCCCTGTGCGGTGGCCTGCCTTTTTTGGGGTGGGGAGTTGCTGGGTGAATGAGGATGGCGGAGGGAACCAAGCATGTCAGTGGAGCGTGGTGTCATCCAAACGGTACTTAGCAGGCCTGGGAGAGTCATTCTGGGAGGACGCAGACCTAGAGAGGCCTCAGGTGGGCATCTGTGTGGAGGGTGAGAGATCCCTGGTTGAGCCCAAACTGAACCCCAGGTAGAAGCAAGCCTCAGGACAGGGAAGTAGCTAGCAAGGGATGATGAGGCAGCTATCTCTTGACCCTGGCTTCCCACCCATTGACCTTAGCTACTTATGCCTATTAAGCAGATTACGGTTCCCCCATCGTGAAATGTGGGTACCACAGTTCCCTGATGGGCATTTCTCCACCAGCCCATGATGGCCTGAGTTTCCTTACTGCAGTCTCCTCCCTGAGCCTTGGCTTCTCTATGTGTGTCCTAACTCCAGGACCCACAGGCCTGTCAACCCCCAGCCCTGGGCTGCTTCCCTGGCCTCTTCTCTGTTCCCTCTCTGAGGGCCTAACTCCCTTGGGTAGTGCTGCAGAATATAGAGCCACAGGCCCTGGCTGATGATCTGGTGGACTGGGCAAATTGGTCGTGACAGGTCAGGTTCTGGTTCAAAGCCAATTCCTCCGATGCCAAGGAATGTCGAAGAAGGTCCTTTGCCATGATGCCCCATAGCTGCCCCACCTCAGCAATCGTGCCGTAACCTGGGCCCTCACAGTCAGACAACCAGCTGAAGAAGCTCAGGCAGTGACCTGCGGGAAACTCGGGCTTTCACCTGCATGACCCTAGAACCACTGGACTGCAGTGGAGCCAGTCGCCCTGTATCCTGGAGGGAGACGAGTCAGGAAGGCGCACGCCAGGCCCAGCTTCCGAGGTACTACCCCCTCTACTCCTCAGGGAGGATGCCAACGCAATACTCCTTAGTCATCACTTTGTTTCCGAAGTAAATGTTGTGATGAAAGGCAAACTTCTTCCTACCCCTTGTATTCAGGGTGGCCGAGTTCCTCCACCTGCCTGTCCAAGAAGGAGAAACAGGGCTGTGAAGGGGCAATTTCATCTAGGTGGGCTGAGGTGGCATTCTAGCCGGGGTGAAGCATGCGTTTCCCCTTCCCAGCTTTCCCGCTGAGACACACCTGAGCCCCAGAAGGACCTCAACCTGACCAGGACCTTAGCACCCTCCCCCAGACCCAGGCTTTCCATCCTGACCTGCAAATCCAACATGCAGCTTTGAAGGACTTTCTCATGGTTTCTGAGCTCCTTGCTCTCACCAGAAAGAATCAGAACTTTTAAAGTGTTCTTTATGCCAACTTAAATTTTTCATTTTTACTACCTCATGTTTTGGATGAGGCATGTATTTTTAAATTTATTTTCACCCTTATTGTACCTCTATGATAAACTGCTTGCTTACATTCATACCGTAATTATCTCTCAGGTTACTTGTCTGTTCCTAAAGATTCACTGAAACGAAGAATTCTATATATGCTTGTATCTTTCAGCAACCGTATGTCAGATAGCACTGCACATTACTGCAGACATCGCATATACAGGTCCAAAGGTAGAGGAAGAAGAAGAAAGCAAGCGTTAAACTCTATACATTCCTAAAAGCATATCAGAAACTCACAAATAACACTGAAATCAAAGAATGATCACAGCCAATTCCATTACATACCTAGACTGAAATACGAAACTTCAAAGAAAAGAAACATTAGAACTTTGGGTTTGTAAAAATTTTCCTATATAGATAAAATTATTGGTAACTGTCTCACTAGAAAACGTAAACAAAAATCCATGTTTTTCATATTTGTAAATATACATAGTTTTATTTCCATCAGTTATGACATGCAAGCAAGTAATAAAGTGAAAGTACAATCAAATGATATATGGAACTTCCTCAGTCTTAAAATATTCCATGGAGACTATCAATTTTATGAAAAGTATAAAGAATGCTTCATGAAACTACATTGTACAGTGCCATTTACTACTTTACTGACATTTTAAATAATCAACAATTAAAGGGAATACATCAACATTATTTAATACCAATAACGTTATTTTTCTTGAGTAATCCTGTTGAAATTAAGGATTTTAAATAAAACATTAAAAACAAATTATATTGACTGATTTCAGCTTTGGATGAAATCATACTTGTGTATTTGTAGTAATGCGAAGCATAACTTTCTCCTCACAATTAATCTTTTATAACATCGGTGTTATAGTTTTCTCTGACACCAACATTGTGATATCGCACAGGTTTACTGCATGCATGCATTACATGCCTCCAGAGAGTAGGCTTCAAATATATGGAAAAATTATATTTATGAAAAAATTCTAGGAAAGGGAATGGTGAAATGGAAGAGAATTTCTCACTTGCTAACTGTTGGACATGGATTTGTATATATTTGGATATAGACACATACTGGCACACTGTGAGTTTGCCCATGTATATATACACTTATATGAGAAACCCATAATATATGGGTTGTGTAATCTTTTAATTAATCCATAATTGTATGTGTGTGAAATTAGATAAGCGGTTACCTTTTCTTTACTCAATTTGATGGAAAGCCAAAAAAATCTGTCCACCTTCATTTCAATTAATCCAATACTGTTAACTGCTGGTAGCTTCATTCTCCTTGTTCTCTTACGGCAACCGGAAAGTTAATTCTCGCTCTAATTTGGCTTTCAAGGTGCGATCAACAAGAGTGTCACCTTGCTGTGGATTGTGACCTCTGACTCCACCTCTGTCTTCCTTTTGCAGTCCTACCTTTGCATAGGTAACAAACTTTGTACATGGTTAAAAGGATAAAAGTTCAGTGAAATGTCAAGCCATGCTGTGAAATGTTCCATAGTTTCTATATCTCTAATTGTCCTTTGATGTTATAGAGGCAAGAAAAATAATTCAATGTTTTTCTTAGTATCTAGTCCAATGCACTCTTTCTTCATAATACTGCAAACAAGGCACTGACATGGAAACGTGGCTGGACGTCTCAAAATCTCTTCTCATTAATTACCATTATGTTAATCACTGTTGCCCACAACTGGAATTGGACTGTGAAATCCCCTGGTGGAAATTGCTATAATGGCTCAAACTACTGGAATGACTATCTTTTTTTACCTGAAAATATCTGATGAGCATAGACATATGCTATATACAGGAACATATTGTGCATTAACAACATACCATCACTGCCACTCAATAATAGGTATCCCAAACCTTTGAGCCAAACTGAGCTCAGGTGCTCCCACAAACCAAGCTTTTCCCTCCACAGATTTCTTATGTCAAAAAGCCACAACTCCAGGCCAGGCTTCGTGGCTCTTGTTGTAATTTCTACATTTTGGGAGGCCGAGGTTGGTGGGTCACTTGAGGTCAGGAGTTGGAGACCAGCATGGGCAACATGGCAAAAAGCTGTCTCTACCAAAAATACAAAAATTAGCCAGACCTAGTGGCACTTTCCTGTGGTCCCAGCTACTTGGGAGGCTGAGGTAGGAGAACCACCTGAACATGGGTGGCAGAGATTGTATAGTAAGCCAAGATCAGACTACTGCACTCCAGCCTGGATGACACAGCGAGACCATGACTGAAAAAAGAAAAAAAAAAATAAAGGCAACTCCACTCGTCCACTGGCTTAGGTAAAAAATACTGGAGTTGGCTGGGCTCGGTGGCTCACACCTGTATTCCCAGCACTCTGGATTTTGGGAAGCTGAGTCGGGCGGGTCACCTGAGATCTGTAGTAGGAGAGCAGCCTGGCCAACATGGTGAAGCCTGGCTTCTACTAAAAATACAAAACATTAGCTGAGCGTGGTGATGCATGCTTGTAATCCCAGCTACTGCAGAGGCTGAACCTGGGAGGCGGAGGATGTGTTGAGCTGAGATCCTGCCACTGCGCTCCAGCCTGGTCTACAGAGCGAGAGTACCCTGTGAGAAAGAAAGGTGAAGAGAACAAGAAAAAAAAAATGAGAAAAATAAGACCCACTGCAAAAGGTTGCCACAGAAAAGATTAAACATTTCAGCAACTTCTATCTTCTATCATGGAAGCCAAGGTTATTTGGACCAAACCTCCTGTCTTAGTTCATTTTCACGCTGCTGAAGAAGACATACCTGAAACTGGGAATAAAAGGAGGTTTAATTGGACTGACAGTTCCACATGGCTGTGGAGGCCTCAGAATCATGGTATACGAATAAAGGCACTTCTTACATGGCAATGCCAAGAGAGAATGAGGAAGAACCTGAGGCAGAAACCCCTGAAAAACCCATCAGATCCCGTGAGACTTCTTCACTGTCACAAGAATAGCATGAGAAAGACCGACCCCCATGATTCAATTACCTCCCCCTGGGTCCCACCCGCAACACGAGGGAATTCTGGGAGATACAATTGAAGCTGAGATTTGAATGGAGACACACCAAACCATGTCACTTCCCAAACAATTAAAAATTCCCAATAGAAGAAGCATTAATTATATCAAAAAGTGGTGGACCAAGAAGGAACTATTAGCCTCATATCTCAAGAAAGACTCCAGTCAAGGCCTAGGGACTACTCATGAAAAGAGTTTAATAGCCGACTCTCTCCCAGTGGATCTGGATTCCACCGGACTGTATCTTCACAGTAAGGGTGAAACAGAAGCAAACCCATTCCTATTTCCAAGCTCAAGGAACTTTGGTCAAAGTTCTCTTGGAGCTGAGCAGAACAAGGAGGCAAACAGAAAAGATTTGTGTCCCTGAGAAGTCATGGCCACAGGCTGGCTATCACACAGATTGTCAAGCCAGTTCCATATTGCATGGGTATTACAGAAAATCTCAAAACATAAATTTGTGTGTGGGTTGTCCCAGAGCAGCAGGATCTGGCAGAAGGAAATTTCCTTCTAACCCTCAAAGAATCCACATAAATCTTGTTACATTTGGGATTTTACGATTTGCTTCAGGAATGAGAATGGCCTTAATTTTCATATCTTTTTCTACACTCAGTTTATGTCTTGTTGGCGTCAAAGTTCTGCTTGCTTCACACAATGAGTTTAGGATTTTCCCTTTTTTATTCTATAGAATTCTTCATATATATTGAAATGCTCTGCCTGGGGAAAAAAATCTGAGCCTAGCGTTTTATCTCTAGGAAGAATCCTTTATTTCCTTGAACATTTATGAGACTATACAGATTATATATGTCTTCTTGTATCAATTTTACTAAGCTATATACATAGCTTATGTTTATATATTATATATATAAATGTAAGATACAAATATAAAAATTATGTATAAATATGAAAATATATATAGAAAGCGATATATATGTCTATATATATAGACAGATTATAAATATCTGTCTATTTGATCTAAGTTTTCAAATTTGTAGGTTAAGGTGTTAATGATATTTCCTTATTAGCTTCTTAATCTATGCTGTATCTATGGTTGTGTACCTTTTAAATTCTTAGTTTTATCTATGTTTTCTCCCTTTTTTTCTAAACTTGACTGACGGTTGCATCATTTATTATATTTCTCCAACAAGCAAAGGTTAGCTTTGTATGTTTTACTAATTTTGTCTACATCATTATTCCCACACTTTAGTTTTTCAGAATTGATTCTGTTGTTTCTTTTCTAATTCTTTATTGAAATATCTAGTACATTAATTTTCAAGTTATTAGAGAAATATTTGTCTGTAAACTCCTATTGTAATATCACTTTTCTTGCTACTCACAGATTTAATCTTTAATATTGGCGGTATCATTGAGTTCTAAGTACATTTCAATTCCTAGTATGATAATCTATGAATTGCTGAGAAATAGTGTTTACAATTTTGTTGTTCTATTTCCACTTAAGTTTATTTTTACTTCTGCTAACTCAATTGAAAATTCTTTACTAATTTTTAAAATCCTTGAACCCAAGAGATGGAGGTTGCAATGAGCTGAGATCAGGCCACTGCATTCCAGACTGAGTGACAGAGTGGAACGAGATTTCAAAACAAAACAAAACAAAACAAAACAAAACAGTCACTGGAAAGATAATAAAATACATAAATGTGGGATGTAATATGTAATCGTGATAAAATAAACTGGATTTTTTGTATAAGTTATACATATAAATGTAATGCCAAGACACTGATAAGACAACTCATGGTCTTATCTCAATACTTAGTGTCTTCATGTAACATATGTCCTTTAGGATAGTTATAGTCCGTTTTCTTTCCAGGAGAGACAGATGAGAATGCAGAAATGTTAAAGTGCAAGGGACAGAAGCTTCCAGCTGTGCCCACCTGTAACCTGACGTAGACAGTTCCACTGTTTGCTTCATTAATCATGCCAAAGGCTCTAATGCAAATGTGGTACAGAGTCACATGTTTTTGTATCTACATGATAGAAACTATAACTTCATCCCTATATAGAAGGGTATATAGCATATGCCTCAGTGATAAATATAAGTGAATCATTGATCAGTAGGAAACCATTTTAAAAGTCTTTCATAACAGAACAAAATCCCTGAAAACATTTTCTTCTCAATCTCTGAGTTTTCTTACACGGCTTATGAATCTCTAGCCATACTAAAGAGATAGTATGCTGCTCTTCCAACAAATTATTCATTGTATATAATTCCTGTAATCTAATAACAGTACCTTTACACCTCAGGGTTTAAAATGACTCCAACCTTTTTCTGTTTCTCCAATTAAAATAACTTTTTAAGGTTTAATCTTCAGTAATTTTTTGTAGTAATATTTTTGAAGGTATTTGACCAGGATGATTTGCTTATATACCTACCTGACGTCTCCCTTTCTTCTGAATACATATTTTATTACCCACCTATTAGATCTAAGTTTAAGAAGTTGGAATAGGGATTTAAATCTAAATTCTACATTTGAATTTACAGGCGTCAGTGAGTCCAGGAAGTGCCTTTATGCACAGACCAATATCTGGCAATGGCACTAGGGGACAAATAAGCTTTACCAGTCTCAAAGCCCTGGCTACTACAGTGAATCCACCCTTCTCCTGGATCTTATCTACTTCAGCAAAAGAAGGCCACCCACTAAACCAGGCCCTTGTACTTTGGGTGGAAACTCCTAAGTCCTCTAGTCTCCTCAAACAGACAGCCAGGCTGCCAATTTCCACAATAATAATTTCTATAGCACTGAGTCTTTGGTAGCCTTGTAACTATAGCTACTGATGCTACAGTCTGGTCCCTGTATGATAAAACACCAGAGCAACAGAAACAAAAATATTGACTGAAGCCTTCTAAAATCTCTCTAAATATACCTTCAATAAATATGGTTTTTTTTTTACAGAACGACTGCTTTCAGCTTCCTGAACTAACGCTTGGCCTTCGCTAGTTGTCACTGTTGAAATTGATTCAAAAGTGTACATTTAACATGAAAGTCAATACAGAATTTCATGTGTCAGCAACTAAAATTTTCAAAATGATGCAAAATACAAATGTGAAACTGTATTTGTGAAATTTACCATTCATTGAAATTATATTTTCATACCTACCCAGGCACAGAATTTTTTATAACTGTCTGCAGGTTCTCCTCATGTGGGGGAAAAACAGCATCAGCAGGCAGAGGAATCCTTTGAAGCTGGAGGGAGAGGTTGCAGTGATCTGAGAGTTTGCCACTTGACTGCAGCCTGGATGACACAGTGAGACTCCAACTGAAAAGAAACAAACACACACACACACACACACACACACACACACACACCCAAAATTGATAAGTAAAAAAAAAATCCGTATTCGAAAACATGCTCACAGGCTAACTCCCATATCTAACACACACACACACACACACACACACACACGCACACACACAAAATTCCTTGAAAACGAAAGTTCCACAAGGGCGAAACAAGAAAACAAATTTAACACCCCCCAAAGAAAGTACAAAGAGTAACCTCAAAAGAACCGCAGGGGAAAACAATTCAAAATTTACAACTATCTACCCTAAAAGAAGCTGAAAGTCCCTCAAAAACTTTCCAGAGGCCATGTCCTTGTATTACAAAAATGATCATAAAAACTGGCAGGAGTAGACGAATAGAAATGCATCTTAAAACTTGCTAAACCCTTCAAGTCTCCCATAAGAATTGTAATGGAAAATGGATCAGTCGGCAGCTTTTTCCATACAATTATGAACAAATTATATTTCTTCATACATAGATTTGTTTTTTCAATATTCTAAGGAATTAACTTTTATACTAATAGTAGGTGATGTAAGAAAGCAGGCCTTTATCAAGATAACTGACACTGGATGTCCATACCATTACTCAGGTGGGCCTTAATTCCCAGCCAGGTTCCCTCCCTGGACACACACTGAAGGTCCCCAGCCATTTGGCAATCTCTTCACATTCCCAGCCCTGAAGGTAGCCCTAAAATACATGTACCTGAAGAAAATAAAACATTGCCTCACACTGGAGCCCAGTGTGGTCCTCCAGATTCCGTGTGAGGTGGACTAACTTATATGGGAAGGCAGGGCAGCGGGAGTGAGGATGGCAGAGAGGATTACACATGTCAAGGCAGCCGGGGTCATGGAAACAAAACATGAATGGCCTGGGAGAAACACTGTGAAAGGACACAGACCTAGGTGGGCCTCAGGTGGACATCCTCGTGGAGAAAAAGGGGGCCCTGGTTGATCTCAAAATGAGCCCCAGGTGGTAGCAGGTCTTACCGCAGGCAGGGAGCTGGCGAGTAATGATGAGACAGCTATCCCTTAAGCCCTGCTTGTCACCCACTGACTTTAGCCACATATGCATCATAGTGGCTTAAGGTGCCCCGATCCTGAAATGTGGGTGTTACATGTCCCTGATGGGCCTCTCTCCCCCAACCCACGGATTGCCTGGGATTGCTCACTGCAGTCTCCTCCCGGATCCTTGGGTTCTCCATGTGGGGCCCAGATCCAGGTCAAAAGGCCTCTCAGTTCCCAGCCCTTCCCAGCCCTAGGCTGCTCGCCTGGCCTCCTCTCTGTTCCGCCTCTAGGGCTGACCCTCTCTCCATGGGATAGAACTGCAATGGATTGAGCCATAGGCCCTGGCTGATGATCTAGGGGACTGCAGAAGTGGGTCCAGGACAGTTCAGGTGACAGTTTAAAGCCAATTCCCCAGAGACCAAGGAATGACCAGCTAGGTCCTTTCCCATGATGCCCCACGGCGAACCCCACCTCAGCAATCCTGCCAAAACCCGGGCAGTCATGTTCAGCCAAACAGCTGAATGAGCTCAGGTAGGAGGTGTACTGCCTGCAGCTGGAGGCTTGACCTTCGTGATCCCAGAACCGCTGGACTGCAGTGGAATGAGACACCCTGTAGCCTGCAGGGAGAGGAGTCAGGAAGGTTCATGCCAGTCCCACCCTCCCACACACCAGCTCCCCTACCATGCTGGCAGGCATTCCTTACCGAGGATGCCAACACAGTGCTCCTTCATGATGATTTCACTGTGGAAATAAAGGTTGGGATGAAAGGAAATCATCCTGCCACCGGTAACCGGGATGGCTGAGTTCCTCCACCTGCCAGATCAAGGAGAAAGAGGATGGATTCAATGGGACCATCTCAGCTAGCTGGGCTGAGGTGGCCTACTAGCTGTAGTGAACCATGAGTTTCCCCTTCCCAGCTCTCCCACTGAGACAACCCTGGTCCCCAGGGGGACCTCAAACTGACTCAGACACTGGACTCCTCCCACAGACCCAGGCTCCCCAGCCTGACCTGCAAATCCATCACGTAGCAAAGCAGGACTTCCGCATGCTTTCCGACCCACGCCGACATCTCGTGTGCCAAACAATCTACCTCTGCGCAAGAACTCTCCAGAGGATTGGGTGGGCAAGCCTCGTGACGCCTTGCAATTTCGCAAGAACACAGACAATGTGGAACAGGGCCATCTCCCAGACATTTGGCCAGTCACCCTTCATTGTTGGCCCTCTATCTCTGTCTGGCGAGGAGGCAACGCCACAACTGTGGTGGTTTTTGGAGTGGGTGGACACCGGCCAAGACGGCCTGGGCTGACCATAGACGGGACGCAGAAAAAGTGGGCAGGTGGTTGCAGCTGAGGGACGGGAGGGGCCGGGGGTGGTGTGAGGCGGCTGCTTCTCTGGGTTTCTGAGATGCAGGAGGCCTTTGTGTGCTGGGTGCTGGACATGCTCCGCTGATGTCCGGGTGTGTGGTGTCCTCTTATCCTAGTCTCCCTGAGGGGTGGGCCTGTCCACCTGAGGGAAGCCTTGTAGTTAGAAGCCACAGCAGGGTCGTGCCTGGCGCTCTCCAAGGGAATTGCGTGGGTCCAGAGGAAGTTATACAGGCTCAGGGCCTACACGCCTTTGAGTGCAGCGCCTGCAGTTGGATGAATGCGCATCTGCGGAGCTGGTGCCCGCCGTCAGGTGGTCGGCAGCCCCATGCGCCGCGAACCCGTCTTAAGCACCTTGTGTTTCTGGGGTGAGCCTGCTGGAAACAGGCACCGAGAGCAGGGGTGGTTCAATGGCTGGTAATGGCATACAGATTCCCCGTCCTCCAGGGACGTTCCCAGGGAAACGTGTCCTTCGAATTTGGGCTGTGCGCAAAGGGACCTTGGCGCTGCGATTCTCCCTTGTCAGTGCTGGCCCTGGCTCCCCTTCCCTACCACGTGCTCCCAGGGCTGCTACAAGCGAGCTGCCCTCACAGCTGCGGGAACGTGGCCTCGGCTCCCACGCTGTCCCCCATCCCCTGCCTCCTGGCTGACCCCACGCGCCTCCCACCTGGCTCCTCCCCCCAAACAGCCCCCATACCCCCCGAGGCCCGATGACTATCCCCTGCTGCCCGCCATCCCAAATCGGCAGCCGCAAGGATATGGCTCTGGCTCACAAGGCGGAGATGCTCTGTGGCCTGGGGCATTCACGGAGCCCAGCTCCAAGTGAAGGACCTCCAGCGAGTCCATTGACGGCCCCGGTGTGCTCGGTCCAGG
This sequence comes from Homo sapiens, assembly GCF_000001405.40. Taxonomy (NCBI): domain Eukaryota; kingdom Metazoa; phylum Chordata; class Mammalia; order Primates; family Hominidae; genus Homo; species Homo sapiens. Next base: position 6,265,365 of record NC_000024.10, read on the forward strand.
GCCAGGCTGTGCCCGCTGGCCCTCCTTCTGCCACCCCACGTCGGGCTCCACCTCAACCACCACCTCCACCTCAGCCATGATGTCTTCCACCTTCAGCACCGCCTCCTCTTCCAAGGCCGCCTCCTTGCTCTGTACCCCGGCCGTCCTCTCCAGCATTGCCTCCAGCCTGAACACGGTTTTCTCCTGGGTGCTCCCACAGACCCTGGGCCTGCGCAGCCCAGCCCAGCCCAGCCCATGCCCCGCACCCGTAGGCTCTGGGGGCCCGCTCCCCAGCAGACCCGCTCCCTGCAAGACCCACGGGCGTCGCCCTGCTGAGAACCTGGTCCCACACCTACGTGGACCCAGGTTTCCTGAGGACCTCCGCTGGACCCGCAGATCCCGCACTGGCCAAAGGGCTCCGGTCCCCAGCAGGCTCAACTGCGCACAGGAGCTCGGGAGCCAGAGCCCCGGCCCTGGGCTTGCAGAGCCCCACCAACAGGCACCGCAACCGCTGCTGCGGGTGCGGGAGCCTCTGGGTCGTCAAGGCAGCGCACAACAGCGTGCGCGCAGGCCGACAATGGCCAACCCTGGCGGCTGGCCTCTGGTGTGCCCAGGGCATAGGACAAGAGGCCCTTTGGAATGCTCCTTGGAGTACAGCATCCTCAGGGAGGAAGCATGGTACTCGGAGCCTCTATTTGCCTCGACCTGTGAGAGTGTGTGCCGGGGCTCTGGCCTCTACAGCAGATCAATTCCACCTCAGCACCGGCAGGCGACTTTCCTCCCACGTGCCCGCCCCGATCACTTCCCCCAGGACACCCCTGCCGCCCTAGCCCCAGCAACCAGAGAGAGTTCTCTGCATCTGCTGTATTACCTCCGTACCATCTACCTGGCCTGCCTAACGAAGAGAGATGTTTCCTGTGTTCATGACACATAGAGATGTTCATGGCTTGCCACACTGAGGATGTCAGGGCACAGGGCTGCCATGCCCACAATTCCAAAGGCCACGCAGCCCGTGTGTGCCCGGACGCCTAGCTACCCGGCACAAGCTCCAAGGGCTTCTCAGAGGAGGCTTGGGCAGGGAAGGCGGGGGGTGGGGGGGCTGGAGATGCAGGCCCGCCAGTGGCTGTGCCGCCCAGGGAGACGCCCACCGCCCTCCCATTGATTGGCCACGACGGGAGGAAGTCGGCCTGGGTGCGGCCCCCCGGCTCTTCGCGCGCAGTCCCTTAGGGGGCGCCTGGAAGCCTGGCGCATGCGCCCTGAGGGCTCGCTGACCTACCGGGTGCCAGAGAGGCTGCGGCAGGGTTTCTGTGGCGTGGGTCGGGCAGCACAGGCCTTGGTGTGTGCGAGTGCCGAGGAGGGCACCGCCTTCAGGATGGAGGCTGTACAGGAGGGGGCGGCCGGGGTGGAGAGTGAGCAGGCGGCTTTGGGGGAGGAGGCGGTGCTGCTGTTGGATGACATAATGGCAGAGGTGGAGGTGGTGGCCCAGGAGGAGGCCCTCGTGGAGGGGCAGGAGGAGGCCCAGAAGCCACAGCCTGGCCCTGGGCCCATAACCCCAGAGTCCGCCCTGGAGGAGCTGGTGGCCGTTCAGGTGGAGCTGGAGCCGGTTAATGCCCAAGCCAGGAAGGCCTTTTCTCGCCAGAGGGAAAAGATGGAATGGAGGCACAAGCCCCACCTAGGCCGCAGAGGCGCCGTCATCCAGAGCGTCCCTGGCTTCTGGGCCAATGTTGTATCCTTCTCAGTGTTTTTTCTGCCTTTCCAGTTGAGAGGTGCTCTTGGGGAAGTGTAAGTAACTGATGGGCAGCTCATCGTCGATATGACTCTTTGGAGAACAAAGGTGAGTTACCACAGACAAATGAGGCTGTAGAAAGCCGGAGCAGGCGTGGGTACTGTTTTCCTGCATGCGGCAGAGAAACCCTTGGTGATGCCGAGCAGCAGACGTTTGGGGCATCATTTGAAGAGCAGAAGTGAGTTCAGACCAGAATACGTTTTTCTGTGAATGAAGGTATTGTTAAGGGAGTGTGATTACTCCCCCTTGCTAGTCAGATCTGGGACTGGGCGTCTTCGCCTATAAGCTGATTCTGCCACTCCGCAGACACCAGCAACTCTCTGCAAATCGCACCTCCCCATGTCAGTGCAGTCAGCCTCAGAATTAGACACTCTCTGCAAGCCCAAAAGACCTTAATTTAGGGGGAGGGGGAGGCAAAAGGAGGTCATACATGGAAGCAGTTCTGAGAAATCCCCTACCCCAGACTCTGGGCGCTCTTAGGCCTTCTTCCCTGTTGCTCCTAGCTTCTCCTTCCATCACATGTAAAGCCTCTTTGACCTAAATCAGATTGCAAACCACCCCCAGATGTCAGCCCTGATCACTGACCAAGATGAAGACATGCTGAGCTACATGGTCAGCCTGGAGGTGAGGCTGGGAAGACTGAGGCTAGAGGGTTTAGTAGGGGAGGGTAAAGGAAATAATTCATTCCTGTAAGCAACAGTGGGCACCTCACCCGAAAAGGTATTTAAGCTTTCTCCACCTTGTCCTGACAGATGAAAGAAGTGAAGCATCCCATTCATCTCTGCAAGATCATGTTGTTCTTTTGGAGTAACCCCTACTTCAGAATAAAGTGATTACCAAGGAATATCTCGTGAACATCACAGGTGAGAGGTGGCACCCCAGATGGGTAGTGGAAGGAAGATGATGTGTGGGTCATTGCCAACATGATCCAGGCCCCTTCCCACAAAACCCTCTCTTTGTAGAATACAGGGCTTATTCCACTCCAATTCAGCAGTATCAGGATTATGATGTTGAGCCCTATCGCTGGGGACACCACAACAGCAGCCTTAACTTCTTCAACTGGTTTGCTGACCGCAACTTCACAGGATCTAACAGGATTGCTGAGGCGAGTCCTCACTGGGAAACATTAGGAATGACCCTGGTGTGTTCCCAGCTGCTTGGGTCACCAGTCTGAGCCCTGATGAGGCCTTTCCCAATTGATTCCCCTGATAGAGCTTATGTACGGAACTGTGGCACAAACCCCTGCAATACTACATGAAGATGAAGCCACCTGAAGAGGGAACAGAGATTTCAGATGAGCCGTTAAGTTGGAACTGGAGCTATTTGGTGCCCAGGGTAAGGGGGTTGACATACCTGCCTGTTCAGGGAGCCTGGATGCTCATTTCAGAAATGTAGAAATTGAGGCTCCTTTCATACATGTAGAAATTCCTTGAGAGAAAGACAGAGAGTGACAGAATCCAGGACATTAACGGCATTGGGCTGAAAAAGGCACATTAGATACCACACTGCAAAGCAGGTTATAGCTGTGGAGTCTTAAGCCCGGGGAAGCATAGTCTATGTCCAGACTCACTGAGAAGTAAAGTTGAATCATTCACTTCAATTTGTGGCACTTGATTCCATGGCCATCAACCCCACCAGCAGCCATCCTACCAACTCCTTAAGATGGGGCTCCCTGAATGTGCCTCCTTGTTGTCCTTGCCACAAACCACAGAAGACTGTTTAGGTCATTGCATTTTGTTAAGCTATTGCCCCATCAGATTTCTGTGTGCTTTTAGTATACAATGAATCTTGTTAGCTGACTCCTGTCACAGTGAATACTGGGAATGGGGAAAATATTGCAGGGAACAGTTTGTAGCACCTGGTAGGAGGAAGTTTAAGAGATCACAAATGGGGAAGGGGTAGTCTTTTCTCAGCAGGCCCTAAAATTAAAACATTTTGAAGTATGGCTCAGAGGAAATACATTTTGACACGTGTTTGTGTTTCTCTAGGGGACTCCCAGATGGTGAGTGGAATATGATGGAGCATCACACTTTACCTAATACAGCAGAACTCCTACATAGTTACTATAGTATGCAGGACGTCAGTACTCAACATGGTCTTATGCCCAAGAACTAAAGGAAAAACAGATCCAGTCACAGAAAATCAGACAGGTTTAAACTACCAACCGTGTGTCTGTATTTGCGTATATTTATTTCTCTGTATGGGTTTGTCTCTATTCTCTGACTCCACCTATGTCACTCTCTGTCTGATATGTTTCCACACTGCCCATGGTAATTTGTACACGCCTATCTCTACAACCATGCTCGACTTTGTATCTCTGTCTTTGAACATCTATCACTCTCTCTCCCTTTCTTCATTGCTTTCCTTCCTTCACACCCTTCCTTTCTTCCTTCCCTTCCTTCCCCACCACTGTCTCTCCATCTGTATCATCTGTCTTCCTATTCTCGATCTGAATTTAGTTTGTAATTCTCAATCTGTTGGCAGTGGCATCAGATTATCGTTTTCATGTCTGGATGAAATTCCTCTTATAAAGAATATCCGCTGAAGGAGATGAGTTCTTTTTGTGAGCCATAATGAACTGTTTATTTTAGGCTGATCTAGCAATGACAGAGTTAAAAAAAAAAAAGAAAAAACAAAAAACAAAAAACTAGACATTACAGCAAAGGCAAAGGTCACACGGATCCCACTCATCCCACTCATTGTATCCAAAAGGTGGAAATGTGAAAAAGCGGGTTATGCCTGTGGTCTCCAAAGCGGAAGGAGAAATTTCAAGGGATTCTGTTGGATCATTTTCCAGGAGGCAGCTATAGTTCATAGATACATGCTGCATAAACACAAGCGCAATGATGAAACAAAGAAAATGTTCTTTTCCCTCTGTTTTTATTTTGTATTATCATTTTAACAAACATCATGCAAACAGAATTTATTCATGACGTCATAAACTATTGTTTAATGAACTCATATCTGAGTTCTTCATTGTGTCAAACAATGTCAAAGAATCATGATTTGTTGTGACCTGCTACAGATAAGTGATAGGAAATTACAAAATGAGAGCATATAGAAAGGGCAAACTGTGGTCTGAGAACTTCACCAAGAGGTTCAGGTGAGCTGAATGCATGTCAGGGATTCAGAAAAAGACACTTGCACTTGTCATTAAGGGCTTTGAGTTCAAAAGAAGCACTCTTTCTACATTTATGTCTTTTAACTCATCTGGGGAGTTTGGTGTGTTATCTCTCTGCCCTTTCTCATTGTTCTCCCCATCTGGGGCTGTTATTATGTGAAAGCTTGTTTCTTTCATCGGATCGTGTAGGCTGTAATGATGTTTCGTTTATTTTGATTCTCCTCACACTGCGTAGTTTTAATTTACCTAATGTGACTCATTTTTGTTTGTTTCCTGAGAATAGGTCTTACTCTGTCTCCTAGGTTGGAGAGGAGCCTCAGGATCTCAGCCCACTGCAGCCTGGACACCGCACACCCATGTGATCCTCTCAAGTCAGACTCACATAGCTGGCACTACAGGTGCATGTCACCCCTCCCAGCTACGTATTAATTAATCAATTACTTTTTACACGTGGGCGCATGTTGCCCCGGGCTCATCTGGAACTCCTTAGTGCAGGCAATCCTCCCACCTCGGCCTCTCAAAGTGCTGGGATTACAGGTGTGACCCAGGGCCCTGGCATGGCTTTGAGTTTTTTGCTTTTTTCTTCTGCCTCCTCATGTCTTCTTTTCAAACATGCAGTGAAGGTTTCAATTTATGGACTATATTCTGCACCTGTAATTTCAATCTTTCAGTTGATCATCTACATTCACTGGGATGTTCGTGTGTGTGTGTGTGTGTGTGTGTGTGTGTGTGTATATTTTAACTTACCAAATGATGTTGCATTCTTTCATGTGTCATGAAAAAGACTTTGATAGAAAAGAAAAGCACTGCTTTATAATAAAATACTTTATTGACATTTATTCTCTTAAGGCATTTTAAAAATTGTATGTTTATTTTTTAAATAGTCATATGAAATGATACATATTTATAACTTACAGGGTGATGTTCAAAAGATCACATACATTATGCATTGGATACATCCAGCTAATCAACCTATGCATGACCTCACATACTTAGCATTTTTGTGATGATAAAACATGAAAGACACTGTCTTAGAATTTTTTAGAGAAAGAATATGTTATCACTAGTTATAATCAGCATGCTGTAGAAAATGTTTTTAACCTATTCCTCCTTTCTAACTAGAAATATGTATTCTTGATCCAGCATCTCCTCAGTGCACCCTCTTCACTAAACACCACCCCAACCATTGGAGTCATTACCTCTGTGGGGTCTGCTTTTCAGATTTCATATAAGAATGAGGTCACGTGCTATTTGCCTTTCTGATACCTGGCCTATGTCACTAAAGAAAATGGCATGCACGCATTCAGCGGATTCACACGTATTGTCACAAGTGGCAGGATTTCCTTATTTATTACTGCAGTGCATTTTTCCATTGTGCATATGTGTTTTTGCCCCATTTTTTTAATCCACTTATCAATTGAGGGACACTCAGGTTGCTTCCGTGTTTTGGCTACAGCAAAAATGTAAAGAGTGCAGCAATAATTGCATGGGTGCATACACTGCTTCAACATACTGATTTGTGTACTTGTGGGTGTGCCCCAGTATTCTGATTTGCTGGATCACATGATGGGTGGTTCTACTTGTAGAGTTCTGAAGGCTCTATACTTAAATAAAAGCCATAAAGCTTCTTGTAATGCCTGCACTAAATTACATTCTCACCAAAAGTGCGCAAGGATTTCCTTTTCTCCTCATCCTCACCAGAAATGAGGGTTTTTTGTTTGTTTGTTTGTTTGTTTTGTCTTTTGGATAATAGGTATTCTGACTGAAGTGAGAAGAAATCTCATTGTGTTTTTGATTTGCATTTTCCTGATGGATTAGGGATGATGAGTGCTTTTTAGTGTGTCTTCTGGGCAACTGTATGTCTTAGTTTCACAGATGAATATTCACATCCTTAATCCATTTCTTTTCATGCTATTGATTGTTGGGAGTTCCTTATGTACTGTGAATATTCACCCATTAACAGATGTATAGTGATCCAATAATTTCTCCCATCCTGTAGGATGTCCCTTCCGTCTGTTTAGTTTTCTGTGGTGTGCCAAAGCACTTTAGTTTGATATAACCCCATTCTCTGTTTTTGATGGTGTTTACTGTGCTCTTGCAGTCACTTTGAGACCATCACGGCCCACACAGATGCCATGGAGCTTCTTCCTTGTGATTTCTTCTGGTAATTTTATTGTTTCAGATGCGACACTGGAGTTTGCTGATAAATAATCCACCTGTAAAATCCTTTATGTGGCTCTTCAGATTTCCCCAACCTAGTTTATAGAAGATACTTGATTTTGCACTGGACGTTCTTGCTTCTTTGGGAAAAGGCTGTGAGCTGCAAATGGAGTGACTTAGTTGTGGGCTTTTATTGTTTTTCCTAAGCTCTAGTCTCTGCTTTTCTGCCAGTGCTATTGTATTTTGGTACACAAAGCTTTGTAGTAGTATATCATGAAGTTAGGTAGTGTGGTGGCTCCAGCTTTGTGCTTTTTACCGGATTGCTCTGGGTTTTCAGGATCTTCTGCCATTTCATAGCAAATTTAGGATTCTCAGATGGTTTTTCTAAGAAGAATGGGTCATTGATATTTTTACAGGGGTTGTATAGAATCTGAGGATGACTCAGGTAGTAGTGATGTCAATGCCGTTTAGACAATGTGTGTGTTTGTGTGCACATGCTCAGGGCCGAGAGACACTGGGTGTCCTCACCAATACTGAGGTGGGCCTGAATGTCCAGCCAGATTGCCTTCTGGAAACACACAGAAGGTCCCGTTCCATTTTGCCATCTCTTCACATTTCCTCCCCTGTGAGCCCTGTGTGGTCCTCCAGATTCCCTGTGCAGTGGCCTGCCTGTTTGGGGGGTGGGGAGTTGCTGGGTGAATGAGGATGGCGGAGGGGACCAAGCATGTCAGGGGAGCGTGGTGTCATCCAAACGGGACGTAGCAGGCCTGGGAGAGCCATTCTGGGAGGACGCAGACCTAGAGAGGCCTCAGGTAGGCATCTGTGTGGAGGGTGAGAGAGCCCTGGTTGATCCCAAACTGAACCCCAGGTAGTAGCAAGCCTCAGGACAGGGAAGGAGCTAGCAAGGGATGATGAGGCAGCTATCTCTTCATCCTGGCTTCCCACCCATTGACCTTAGCTACTTATGCCTATTAAGTGGATTAGGGTTCCCCCATCATGAAATGTGGGTACTACAGTTCCCTGATGGGCCTTTCTCCACCAGCCCATGATGGCCTGAGTTTGTTTACTGCAGTCTCCTCCCTGAGCCTTGGCTTCTCTATGTGTGTCCTAACTCCAGGACCCACAGGCCTGTCAACCCCCAGCCCTGGGCTGCTTCCCTGGCCTCTTCTCTGTTCTCTCTCTGAGGGCCTAACTCCCTTGCATAGTGCTGCAGAATATTGAGCCACAGGCCCTGGCTGATGATCTGGGGGACTGGGCAAAGTGTTCATCACAGGTCAGGTTCTGGTTCAAAGCCAGTTCTTCCGATGCCAAAGAATGACCAACAGGGTCATTTCTCATGACCCCCCATAGCCGCCTCACCTCAGCAATCCTGCCATACCCTGGACAGTCACAGTAAATCAACCAACTGAAGAAGCTCAGTTAGGCAGTGCTCTGCCTGAAACTGGGGCCTTCACCTGCATGACCCTAGAACCACTGGACTGCAGTGGAGCCAGTTGCCCTGTATCCTGGAGGGAGAGAATTCAGAAAGGCTCATGCCAGGCCCAGCTTCCCACATACCACTCCCTCTACCATGCGGGGAGGCGCTCCTCATTGCAGATGCCAATGCAATACTCCTTAGTGATCACTTCAATGCAGAAGTAAATGTTGTGATGAAAGGCAAATTTCTTCCTACCACTTGTTCTCAGGATGGCTGAGTTCTTCCACCTGCCTGTCTGAGAAGGAGAAAGAGATGGTCAAGGGACAATTTCATCTAGGTGGGCTGAGGTGGCCTGCTAGCTGGGGTGAAGCATGTGTTTCCCCTTCCCAGCTCTCCCACTGAGACACCCCTGAGTCCCAGGAGGACCTCAAACTGACCAGGACCTTAGCACCCTCCCCTAGAACCAGGCTTTCCATCCTGACCTGCAAATCCAACATGCAGCTTTGAAGGACTTTCTCATGGTTTCAGAGATACTTCCTCTCACCAGAAATAATCAGAACTTTTAAACTGTTCTTTATGCCAAATTAAATTTTTCATTTGTACTACCTCATGTTTTGGATGAGGCATGTATTTTTAAATTTATTTTCGCCCTTATTGTACCTCTGTGATAAACTGCTTACTTACATCCATACCATAATTATCTTTCAGTGTTATTGTCTGTTCCTAAAGATTCACTGAAACTAAGAATTCTATTTATGCTTGTATCTTTCAGCAACCATATGTGAGATAATGATGCACATTACTGCAGACATCACAGATACAGGTCCAAAGGGAAATGAAGAAGTAGAAGAAGAAAGCAAGCTTTAAAGTCTATACATTCCTAACACTGTCAGAAACTCACCAATAACATGAAATCAAAGAATGATAACAGCAAATTCCATTTCATACCTAGACTGAAATATGAAACTTCAAAAGAAAAGAAAGTTAAGAACTTTGGGTTTGTAAAAATTTTCCTATATAGATAAAATTATTGGTAACTTTGTATCACTAGAAAACATAAATGAAAATCCATGTTTTGCATATTTGTAAATATAAATGTTTTTATTTCCATCATTTATGACATGCAAGCAAGTAATAAAGTGAAAGTACATTACAATGATATATGGAACTTTCTCAGTCTCAAAATATTCCATTGAGACTATTAATTTTATGAAAACCACAAAGAATGCTTCATGCAACTATATTATACAGTACTTTTTAGTATTTTACTTACATTTTAAATAATTAACAAAGGGAATTCTTCAACATTATTTATTACAAATACCATTATTTTCCTTGAGTAATACTGTTGAAATTAAGTATTTTAAATAAAATATTAAAAACAAATTATATTGACTGATTTCAGCTTTGGATGAAATCATGCTTGTGTATTTGTAGTAATGTGAAGTATAACTTTCTCCTCACAATTAATCTTTCATAACACCAGTGTTATTGTTTTCTCTGACAACAACATTGTGATATCTCACAGCTTTACTGTACATATACACTACATGCCTCCAGAGAGTAGGCTTCAAACATATGGAAAAATTATATTTGTGACAAAATTCTAGGAAAGGGAATGGTAAAATGGGAGAATAATTTCTAACTTTCTAACTGTTGATCAATGGATTTGTGTATATTTAGATATAGACACATATTTGCACACTGTGAGTTTGCCCATGTACATATACATTTACAAGAGATACCCATAATATGTGGGTTGTGTAATCTTTTAATTAATCCACAATTGTATATGTGTGAAATTTGATAAGCGGTTACCTTTTCTATACTCAATTTGATGGAAAGACAAAAAAATCTCTGTCAACATTCATTTCAATTAATCCAATACTGTTAACTGCTGATAGCTTCATTCTCCTTGTTCTCTTTTGGCAACCTGAAAGTTAATTCTCACTCTAATTCAGCTCTCAGGGTGCAATCCAGAAGACAGTGTTATCTTGCTATGGATTGTGACCTCTGACTCTACCTCTTTCTTCCTAGAGCAGTCCTACCTTTGCATATTTAATAAACTTTGTACATGGTTAAATGGATAAAAGTTCAGTGAAATGTCAAGCCATGCTGTGAAATGTTCCATTATTTCTGTATCTCTAAGTGTCCTTTCATGTTATAGAGGCAAGAAAAATAATTCAACGTGTTTCTTAGTATCCAGTCCAATGCACTCTTTCTTACTAATATGCCAAACCTATCCCTTCAAGGCCCTGACATCTAAACATGGCTGGATGTCTCAAAATCTCTTCTTGTTAATAACCATTATGTTAATCACTGTTGCCCAGAACTGGAATTCAACTGTGAAATCCCCTGGTGGCAATTTCTGTAATGGCTCAAACTATGGGAATGACTATTTTTTACCTGAAAATACCTGATGAGCATATACATATGCTATGTACATGAACATATTGTACATTAACAACATACCTTCACTGCCAGTCAATAATAGGTGAGCCAAACTGAGCTCAGGTGCTCCCACAAACCAAGCTTTTTCCTCCACAGATTTCTTTTTATGTCAAAAAAAAAAAAAGCAACTCCAGGCTGGGCCTGCTGGCTCTTGCCTGTAATTTCCACATTTTCGGAGGCTGAGGTTGGTGGGTCACTTGAGGTCAGGAGTTCGAGACCAGCCTGGGCAATATGGCAAAAACATGTCTCTACCAAAAACGCAAAAATTAACCAGGCCTAATGGCACATTCCTGTAGTCCCACCTACTCGGGAGGCTGAGGCAGGAGAACTGCCTGAACCTGGGAGGCAGAGGTTGCAGTTAGCCAAGATCACATTACTACACTCCAGCCTGGATGACACAATAAGACCCTGTCTCAGGAAAAAAAAAAAACAAAACAGAACTCCACTCGCTTAGGTAAAAAATACTGGAGTTGGCTGGGCACAGTGGCTCAAGCTTTCATTCCCAGCACTTTGGGCTTTGGAAGGCTGAGACAGGTGGATCACCTGAGGTCAGGAGTTGGAGACCAGCCTGGCCAACATGGTGAAGCCCAGCCTCTACTAAAAATACAAAAAATTAGTTGGGCGTGGTGATGCATGCTTGTAATCCCAGCTACTCGAGAGCCTGAACCTGGGAGGCGAAGGATGTGTTGAGCCAAGATCCTGCCACTGCACTCCAGCCTGGGCTACAGAGCAAGAGTACCCTATGAGAAAGGTGAATAGAACAAAAAACAATTAGAAAAATAATACCCACTGCTAAAGTTTGCCACAGAAAAGATTAAACATTTCACCAACTTCTATCTTCTGTAATGGAAGTCAAAGTTATTTGGACCAACCCTCCTGTCTTAGTTAATTTTCACGCTGCTGATAAAGACATACCTGAGACTGGGAAGAAAAGGACGTTTAATTGGACTTACACTTCCACATGGCTGGGGAGGTCTGAGAATCATGGTATAGGAATAAAGGCACTTCTTACATGGCAATGCCAAGAGAGAATGAGAAAGAACCAAAAGCGGAAATCTCTGAAAAACCCATCAGATCTCTTGAGACTTATTCACTATCACAAGAATAGCATGAGAAAGACCAGCCCCCATGATTCAATTACCTCCCCCTGGGTCCCACCTGCAACACGTGGGAATTCTGGGAGATACAATTGAAGTAGAGATTTGAATGGAGACACACCAAACCATGTCACTTCCCAAACCATTAAAAATTCCCAGTGGAAGAAACATTAATTATATCAAAAAGTGGTGGACCAAGAAGGAACTATTAGCCTCATATCTCAAGAAAGGCTCTAGTCAAGGCCTAGGGACTACTCAGGAAAAGAGTTTAATAGCCAACTCTCTCCCAGTGGATCTGGATTCCACCAGACCGTATCTTCACAGTAATGGTGAAACAGAAGTAAACCCACCCATTCCTATTTCCAAGCTCAAGGAACTTTGGTCAAAGTTCTCTTGGAGCTGAGCAGAAGAAGGAGGCAAACAGAAACAATTTGTGTCCCTGAGAAGTCGTGGCCACAGGCTGGCTATCACACAGATTGTCAAGCCAGTTCCATATTGCATGGGTATTATAGAAAATCTCAAAACATAAATTTGCGTGTGGGTTGTCCTAGAGTAGCAGGATCGGGCAGAAGCAAATTTCCTTCTAACCCTCAAAGAACCCACATAAATCTTGTTACATTTGGGATTTTACCATTTGTTTCACGAATGAGAATGGACTTTAGTTTTCATATCTTTTTATCTACTCAGTTTATGTCTTGTTGGCTTCAAAGTCCTGCTTGCCTCACAGAATAAGTTTAGGATTTTCCCTTTTTTATTTTATAGAATTCTTCATATATATTGAAATGCTCTGCCTGGGGAAAAAATGTGAGCCTGTTGTTTTATCTCTAGGAACAATCCTTTATTTCCTTGAACATTTATGAGACTATTCAGATTATATATGTCTTCTTATATCAATTTTACCAAGCTATATACATAGATTATATTTATCTTTATATATTATATATAAATATAAGATGTAAATATAAAAAATTAAATATGAAAAAATATATAGAAAGCTATATATATGTCTATATATATAGACAGATTATAAATATCTCTATTTGATCTAAGTTTTCAAATTTGTAGGATGAAGTGTTAATAATATTTCCTTATTAGCTTCTTAATCTATACTGTATCTATAGTTATGTATCTTTTAAATTCTTAGTTTTATTTGTGCTTTCTCCCTTTTTATCTAAACTTGCCTGAGGTTTGTACCATTTACTATATTTCTCCAACAACCAAAAGTTAGCTTTGTATGTTTTACTAATTTTCCCTGCATCATTATCCCCTCACTTTAGTTTTTCAGAATTGATGCTGCTGTTTCTTTTCTAATACTTTATTTAAATATCTAGTACATTAATTTTCAAGTTGTCATAGAAACATTTGTCTATAAACTCCTATTGTAATATCACTTTTCCTGCTACTCACAAATTTAATCTGTAATAATTTCGGTATCATTAAGTTCTCAGTACGCTTAAATTTCTATTATGATAACCATGAATTGCTGAGAAATAGTGGTTATAATTTTGTTGCTCAATTTCCACTTAATTTTATTTTAACTTGTGCTAATTCAATTGAAAATTCTTTACTAATTTTTTTAAATCTCATATCAAGACTTTTATTCACATGAATTGTTCTATAAATGCTCCCACCTTGAAGAACACTCTCTTGTAGGCTGCTGCAACAGTCTGACTGGTTGCCCTCTAGGCCTCATTCAATTGTCTCATCCTAGGAATTTCATTCATTACCCTTTTACGAATTTATCTCTCTCTTTTGTTCTGTCTCTTATTTTCTGCATTTCACATATTTATCTGTCTTGGTTTACTTCTTCCTTTTGGTAGGAAAAAAATCTCTAGCAGTTTCCTGAGAAAAGCTTCACAGGGAGACAAAATTTTACAGTTGTCATATGTCTGAAAAATGTATGTTTTCTACTTGTATATTTGATTTTAGTCTATGTGGAAACAAAAACATATGTCAGAAATTATTTTCTTTTAGAATTTTTAAAGCATAACTGTAATCCATTGCCTTCAGGTTTATAGTGATGGTGTTGATTTTTTTTTTTTTTTTTTTGAGATGGAGTTTCGCTCTTGTTGCCCAGGTTGGAGTGCGATGGCACAATCTCAGCTCATCACACACTCCGCCTCCTGGGTTCAAGCAATTCTCCTGTCTCAGGCTGTAGAGTAGCTGGCATTACAGGCAGGCACCACCATGCCTGGATAATTTTGTATTTTTAGTAGAGACAGGGTTTCTCCATGTTGGTCAGGCTGGTCTCAAACTCCGGACATCAGGTGATTCACCTGCCTTAGCCTCCCAAAGTGCACCTTGGCCTCCCAAAGTGCTGGGATTACAGGCATGAGCCACCATGCCTGGCCAATGTTGACAATCTTTAAATCATCTGATTCCTCATCCTTTGTACCTGACCTATTTTTACCTCTCTGGAAACTTATACAATTTTCTCTTTGTTCTCAGTGTTCTCAAATTTTACATTGACATATCTTGACATGAGTCTATTTTCATCTATTTTGCTAGGTGTTCACCTTTTAATCTATAAATAAGCATCCTGAAGTTCTGAGACTTTTTAATTATTTTGCCAACAATTTATTCCCCTTTGTTTTACTTATTTATTTTATTTCTATAACTCATATAATTAAAATAATTGGAAGAAATTATATTGGAGAAGAAGATAGCACCACACTGATTGTGTTTGTGTCAGACTATCACAGCTCAAGGTTGTCATATTTTATTAAGGAGAAATGTTGTATTTCTTGGTATTCACATTGTAACCTGAAGAAGGGCAATGACTGTCAAAAATTTAAATGTATGGGTAATAGTTAGAAGATGCAAGCACTGTATCCTCCAGAATTTTAGCATATGCAAACCTTTAAATTCCAGGCAAGTTGACTTAAGCTTCAACATTCTCCCAGCTAAAATGAATCCATTTGTGCTAATTTCTGTGAGCAAAGGTGAATAAGACATTGTTCCTGCCTTCAGTGATAGCTCAGTCCAAAGGGATACAAGTAGAAATGGTATAAAACGAGCGATACTAGTCTGCATGTAGTGGCTCATGCCTATAACCCCAGCACTTTGGGAGGGCAAGGCGGGAGGGTCATGAGGTCAGGAGATTGGGGCAATCCTGGCTAACATGGTAAAACCCCATCTCTACAAAAAATTAGCCAGGCATGGTGGGAGTACTTGGGAGAATACTTGGGAGCCTCCCAGCTACCAGGGAGGCTGAGGCAGGAGAACTGCTTGAACTCAGGAGGCAGAGTTTGCAGTGAGCCAAGAACACGCCACTGCACTCTGGCCTAGGCAAAAGAACAAGACTCTGTCTCAAAAAAAAAAAAAAAAACAAACAAAAAAAAGGAGAGTAATATGTAAAGTGTGCTATAAAAACTGAGAAAAGGGACAGAATATCTGTGACAGATAACTTGTTTCGGGCAGTGGGAAATGAGGAGGTCTGTGTATGCCTTCACTGTGTCACATTTGATTACAGGCAGAAATAAATGAATCTTAATATTTATGGGGTCACAGACCCTTTTTAAAAATGATGAAATTTATGATAATTCTTTCAATAAACATTTATAGAACATACATATATATTTTGCTTACTAACTCAGAATGTGCATCAAGAGCTCTGGATATAGGAGAATGAGTAGAAATATTTTAGGCAGAAAAGAAGGGAAGGGGAGTCCAAACAGAGGAAACAGCCTGTGTCAGAGCCTGGAGACAAAAAAGCTTGTGCATTATTGGAATCAAGTGACTATAAGATAATTCAGGGTGACTGGAGCATAGCTGGAAGATGAACCAGTCATGGTATAAGATGAAAACAGAAGGCCAAGCATGTTCGCTTATGCCTGTAATCCTACGCTTTGGGAGGCCCAGGTGGGCAGATCACCTGAAGTCAGAAGTTTGATACCACTGTGACCAAAATGGCAAAACCCCATCTCTACTAAAAGTACAAAAATTAGCCAGGCATGGTGGTGGGTGCCTGTAATCCTGCTACTCAGGAGGCATATGCAGGAGAATCAGTTGAACCAGAAGGGTGGAGGTTGCAGTGAGCCGAGATTGCACCATTGAACCATTGAACTCCAGACAGGAAGAAAGATTGAAACTCCATCTCAAAAAAAAATATATAAATATAAAATAAGCCGGGCGTGGTGTTGGATGCCTGTAATCCCAGCTCCTCGGGAGGCTGAGGCAGGAGAATTGCTTGAACCTGGGAGGTGGAGGTTATGGTGAGCTGAGATCATGCCATGGCAGTCCAGCCTGGGCAACGAGAGCGAAACTCCACTTCAAAAACAAACAAACAAACAAATGAAAATAGAACATAAGTAGATATCCAGAGATAAGGCATGAAGTATCTCAAATATCAGTCATGCACTTTGTTTACTCAGAGACAACACCAGGATTGATTAAAATTATGCACATCATGTCAACCCTCTTCTAAATGTTAACAAATATAACTGGAACAGTTATACACACACACACACACACACACACACACACACACGTGTGTGTGAGAGAGATGGAGTTTCACTCATATATATATACATACACACACATATATGTATATATGTGTGTGTATACATAAATGTATATATGTGGGTGTGTGTGTATATATATATATATATATATATATATATATATATATATGAAAGAGTGAAACTCCATCGCTCATACACACACACACAGACACACACACATACATATATGCTTGGCCACTTTAATTCCTCTATAATGGAATTCTGAGCAGCATGCTTGAGGGTAAATATCAGGACCTGCAGGCAGTCAGCCTGTGCTAGAAATACTCAGTGTGTTTTTTCACATTATACACTTTCATCTTCTGAGTGTACTGCCTGAGGCTATTGTTCTCTTCATATCTTGCAGATCTTTCTGGGGAAAAGGCAACATGCATCAACAGGTTTTTTGCTAAGGGTCTTCTAATTAATTGGAGGACTTTTCAGTTGAAAAATATCTAAGGACAAGATTTTTTCTCTTTTGGCTCAGGAAACTGCAGGCATCAGTTGCACACCAATATTTAACTGTAACACAGCTATTAAGTCATATCCATTGCCTTAAACAAAATGTACAGAATTCAGTATTTTTAGTTACACCAAACACTATATAGGGTTTGCAGTTAATCATTTTTATATTCTATATTCTCTTTGATATTGAACATAGAACTTCAAGAAGAGGGTCACACAATGATTTATTCAGCAAATATTTATAGAGTTGTGTGTATCAAAAACTGTGGTAAGTGCTGAGATTAGAAAACATACCATGTATCTGCTTTCAACATGTTCTCATTCTATTAAATGTTGTAATAACACAACATTGAGTCCTAAAAGTGTCAAAAGAGAAGTACACACAAAAAAAGAGCTAGGCAAATACATTATGACAACTTAGAGCTGGTGTCAGTTAAAGACAGATCTTCAAGGAGCATAAATGCCAGGAAAGAAAGTTTAGAACAAACTGTCTACATAAAGGCAAGTTTTTTTTGTTATTGTTTTTTCATAGGAAAATAAGATCTGAGTTTCACGAAGGTTATAAGACTAACTGCAATATATAGGATGGGTTGAAGATCAGCAAGAGAAACAGAAGGTGAGTTATGAGTTTTATTAAGTGGTTCAACTAATAGCTGATGGTGGCCTGGGCAAGGAAAGTGGAAGAAAGGACTGGAAGAAAGAGGCAGATGCAAGAATCATTGCAAAGATAAAATGCAAAAGTCTTGGAATGAGTTTTCAAGTTGAGGCTAGTAAAAAATATTGTGGGATTCTTGGCATTCATCTATCCATCAAATTATTCAATGAATCTTTATTAAGATTCAAGATTATTATTGATCTTCATTATTATTTGAGATTATTAAATTTATTATTCACTGAATAATAAATATTCAATGAATATTTAATACTATGCAACAAGCACTGTGCTGGGTTCTGGAGGTACAGCAATGAATATGGGGTTAATGGTCCCTGACTTCTTTAAGCTTTATGTACAGGGAGAGACAGATAATAAATAAAAGTCACAAGCAATTGTAAATGCTGTGAAGGAAACTTTGGGATGCTGAAAGAGAGTAACAGACGGTAGTGATGGTTGGTATAACAGACAGAACTATTGGATTTTGGGAACTAAGTGAAGCTTTCTCCAAGGAATTCCTATTTGATATATCAGAAAGAGCAACCATTGCAAAAGAGTGAGAAAACAGCTGCCAACTCTCTAGAATAGGACAATTTTGGCATAGTTCTGTGTTTGAAGAAAAGAGAGTTGCTAATGTGCAGAATAATGCTGAGAATTTGAGTAAGAGGAAAATGGTAAAGTAACCAGTGGTTTTAATAATACAGATGGGAATGCTGTCCTTGATAAAAGTAGTTCCAGTGGAATGAGACCAAAACCAAATTGAACTGAACTGAAAAGCCAGTGGGAAGAAATGAGAGAAGTGGGTACAGCATGCTTAGTGGAGAAAAGTAATGAAGGGGTAGGCGGCAGGGGCTTAAACAATGGGAAAAATTCTAATTTATAAAAGCAATATAAGAATTTAGATCACAGTTGTATATGTATACTGAGCTGGTAGAGATAGAGGGATTAACGTACATGAGAAAATAAAATTGAGAGCAGTGGATTTTTGTTTCTAGCACCTACAGTGCACTCTCACCTTGCCTGTGAGTTGGATAAATGGCTGAAAGCTGATTCTTTTTCAAAGTTGATTTCAATTTGGGAAAGAAGGGAGTAGGGAACAAAATGACATTGTAAACTGGATAGCAAAATAAGGATATTGAGTACATAGAGGAAGAGCTCAGGCACAAGAAGATCTTGTTCCTCAAACCACATGCTGCCTACTTTCTCGTCTAGCTTCACATTAGCCCTACTCCAATTTCCAAAAGAACAATGATTGTTTCATTTAATCTAACCAAGAGCATTTTACACATCCTACCATATACATCTGTCATCTCAAAGAGGAAAGAGTATTTTAAGACTACAAATAAAAATAATGTAATATTAAATTAAAATCAAGTAACAAATCTAGCTTCATTGAAAATCTGTCTATAATGATATCTTATTTTTTTTAAATTCTGCCGTGGAGTAGTGAAAATATTATCCCAGTCTTGTGTCTGTCTGGAAATCAGTATTGGGAAATCACTAGAGTGATTGCTTTATGAAATCACTTCCTATTCAAATTCTATAATTCAGTTAATAATTACAAAACATATCATATTTGAAGTAAAATAATTTCCTTTTTTATCTTCCATTCAAATATATCACAAATAACTCTTTCTTTCCAAGTCATCTTTGCAGTTCTTTCACCTATATAGGGATCTAAAGCAACACTTTGACACTCTCATCCATTTCAAAAGTCTCGTCTCCCAACTTTTCAGAGCCCACAGCATTTACAATAAACATATCTCTCTGCACAGAAGATAATAGCTGGTTCTACGTTATCTGTCAGCCTAAATGTTGATTAAGACCTCAGTAATCACACTCCACCCTGCACAGATCTAAAATCACAAAATGCAGATTAATTCATGAGAACAGAAGGAAAGAACTGAAAGAAAAATGCTGTCTTGCTCAAAGAAAGGAAAACACAAAAGAAGTCCCACTGCCTGCCTCATTTGGATATTTTTATTTTTAAAGTGTTCAAGCATCCTAGTATTTTTTTCATCACCCTTAAAGAGACAATTAAATATTGCATCAAATAGGATATTTAAAAAGATGACATGTTATAACAGGGGGACTCTAAACATGAGAATTATCACTGGCTCACTGAGACCTCTGATCTGCAGGCATATGATTGACGACGCCTTTCTAATTCCAATAGCATGGGCCTGCAGCAAATTTTATTTTACTGCAAGGTCTACTTTATTGAATTCACTGCCTGTCCTAATTCTATATATTTTTGATTAGTGGACCTTCAAAACTGATGTTAGTAAAAGGAAATTGTTTTCTGACATGCTAACATTTTAAAGCTAATCATTTTTTTTAAATAAGCAGTTGAGTTTGCAGCATTCTGCTCCTGTTATGTTTTATTAGTGTTTGTACTTTAATTTGGTATGTTTGTTTTGGCATCACTCCAGCAGTAGGTCCAATTATAAAAATAGAAACAATTAGATTCACTGTGGTGTCTGATATAAGCATTCCAAGCTTAGCTTTTAAAACAAAATGGTAGACTTGGCTCTTTCCAGAGTCCTGCAAATAAAATGTATTGATTCTGTAGGGTTTTCTCTACTGTAGCTTTTTGAAATTTTGTCCCCACTCTTCACATGTCCAAATCCACAATCCCCTAAACAGCTTTTATTGAAAACCACAACCTCATCTCCTCCTTTTTTGAAGCAATTAAGTCCATCTAACTGGAGAGCCCAAGTACAGTTTATTTTCCTCTTTAAAATCTCTCTCCAGTGCTTTCTACACTATTGTCAAGTAATAGGGCCTTAATAAATCTTTATTAAATGACAGGTTGAATGAACTTGTCCTCTCTTCTCTTTTCTCTGACTTGCAGTAAAAGAAATTTCATTTTTCCAAGACTAACCTTTGTCAGTGACGTAGAATTTATCTGATTCTTTCCACTCAGGCCTTCTTCAAGACCTTGATTCATCATGTATTTCTTCTAAGTCTAACTGTCTTTGGTATTCATTTCTTCATTGGCCACTGTGTGGCTTCCTAATAACACAGACAAATTTCTCAGTTTTGTGAAAGGCCTAAAGGGAATGGTGATTTGGACAAGGTATCTGCATTGGAATACTAGTTTGGTAGGCAATATTCTGTTGCTTTATATCTGTGTGGTGGAAATAAAACCATACACTTGTGTGCTTTCCATATCTGAGTTTTATCTTAAAATAAAAAGGCAAAAATAAAAACAAGCAAAAAAAGAAACACATCGAGGACAAGAGGTTCCTTAAGGCTGATACAACTTAACATAGAGACCAGACCTGAAGAATCTCTTAGAAGAAAACAACAGGCCTCAGAAGTGACTTCAACCTTGCTTGATTCGCAAACATAAGCAAAACTTAACTTCAGCTCTTTCTTGTAAATGTTTATATCTAAAAAAAAGAATGTAAACTCAACCAATTAGAAGCAGTTAACAAACTTATATAATTAGGACTTCCCGATGGGACTGATCAAATGAGGCAACTGTGTAATTGTAACCAATCAAATACCATCTGCTTTAGTTCTGTGTGTGTTTTATAAAATTCTCCCCATTGTTTTCCCTTGATGGAGCTCCTGAATGGCTTCTACTTTGGAGCTGCACAATTCATGGAATATTTCTTGCTCAAACTCTTTAAAAATGTGCCTCAGTTTACCTTTTAAGATTAGAAATGTAAGGCATTGGCTTCACAAGGTGAACAATTTCTAAAGGCTAAATAGTAACTCCTCTTCTAAGTCAAGCAATTTTCAATGCTTGTTTCAACAAAATTGAATGACTTGCAGTTGTCATGTATATAGTTTTCGGTATTTAATACATGAAGAATTCAAAGAATTGAGTGAAATTGCTTTAAAAATTCATTCTTCCATTCCTATATACATATTCACGGGAACAAAGTCTCTTTTTGACACTTCCATCCATAGAGAGAAAAAAGTAAAAATTGAATTAATAATGAATGCTGTCTCACTCTGGCATTTAGCAATAGTTTTCTAGTCTACAAGAGAGAATGAGAGTAAATGAGAAGGGGGCAGGAACAATATCATGCATCTCACTAAGAAATATATTTTCTTTGTGTGTGTGCGTGTGTGTATGTGTGTGTGTGTGAGAGATGGAGTTTTGCTCTTGTTCCCAGGCTAGAGTGCAATGGCGCAATCTCGGCTCACTGCAACCTCCCCTTCCTGGGTTCAAGCAATTCTCCTGCCTCAGCCTCCTCAGTAGCTGGGATTACAAGCATGTGCCACCATGCCCAGCTAATTTTGTATTTTAAGTAGAGATGGGCTTTCTCCATGTTGGTCACACTGGTCTCGAACTCCTGACCGCAGGTGATCCACCTACCTTGGCCTCCCAAAATGCTGAGATTACAGGCACGAGCCACTGTGCCTGGCCAAGAAATGTATTTTAATCAATATTAACATTGTATGTTTAACAAGTATTTTCCAAAAAAATTTAACATACTCTTTTCAATGAATTGTATGCTCTATTAATTGAAACCTGCAAGTATGTTTTTCAAAACAATAAGGGTAGTTTTTTTTTTATTGTTGCATTTCACATGGTTTTTTTTGCGTCCTTCTTTGTACTTTTTGTATTTTCAAATCTTACAGTAGGCTCATTTTTCACTGAATAAAGCAATAAGCTATTAAAGTTATTAAAAAATACTTTCCCTTGAAAACACCTCCCTAAAGCTATTAATCTTTTTTCTTGTTTGCTTATCTCCTTTTCATCATTATTCACTCATTTCATTTTCCAAAAGAATCCTGCCCCTACTACTCCACTGAAAATATACTCTTCAAGGTCAACCTTACCATTACAAAATCTTCTGTCTTTACTTTCTTTGACAGCTCTCCACAACATTCAGTATAGTCAACTTGACTGAGCCTTGCAAAATGTGTCCCTTGGCTATTCACTCCCTTGTTTTCTTTCCCTTTCTGCTCGCATCTTTGATTGGCTTTATTATGTCATCTGCTAGTTGTAAAATGTAAACCCAAGCCTAAATATTTAGGATACCACTAGCTATGTGTCTCCAGGTCAGTATGTCATGGTTGAATGACTTTCCAGCCTGCGTTCACCATTCAGAGTGTTCCCTGACCTTCAGTCATAGTTCTGTAACTTCCATTTTCAATGGAATATCTTGACACCACCTTAAACTCAACATGTCTAAAACCACATCTGTTGCTCCAAGTCAGTTTTCCCTCTAGACCATACTTGTTCTGCCACAAAACTAGATCACAACTTCCTTGCTTTTGCAATAGCCTTTGGGAAAATACAAGAAAAAGTCACAAAGTGATCTTAAGCTACAGTACTAAGATGAAAACAGAACACACAGAAAGTCTGAATACAAGATTATTTATTTTTCGATCTGATTTCATAGAAGAAATTAGACCAATATATTATTATGTTAGTTTAAGCATGGCCATAAAAGTAAATTTGGCTTCAAATTTGGAGTCAGTCAGTCTCTAGAGAGAAATGTGTTCATTACCAGGATTAGCAGCATTTTATCCTCCAAGTCATTTGGGTCACAAATCATGGGGAGGTACAATTCTCTGTTTTATAAACCTCATATTCAGTCTTTTGCCTACTCTTTCAAGTATTTTTGAATGCCTTTTGCTGTTTGTTACGTTTGCACTTCCACGAAATACCTAATTCAGGACATGTTCACTTACATTAAGATGTTACAACACTCAAACTTTTTTTTATTGTACTTTAAGTTTTAGGGTACATGTGCACAATGTCCACGTTTGTTCCATACGTATACATGTGCCATGTTGGTGTGCTGCACCCATTAACTCGTCATCTAGCATTAGGAATATCTCCTAATGCTATCCCTCCACTTCCCCCTACCCCACAACAGGCCCCAGTGTGTGATGTTCCACTTCCTGTGTCCATGTGTTCTCATTGTTCAGTTCCCACCTATGAGTAAGAACATGCAGTGTTTTGCTTTTTGTCCTTGAGATAGTTTGCTGAGAATGATAGTTTCCAGCTTCGTCCATGTCCCTACAAAGGACATGAACTCATTTTTCATGGCTGCATAGTATTCCATGGTGTATATGTGCCACATTTTCTTAATCCAGTCTATCATTGTTGGACATTTGGCTTGGTTCCAAGTCTTTGCTATTGTGAATAGTGCCACAGTAAACATACGTGTGCATGTGTCTTTATAGCAGCATGATTTATAATCCTTTGGGTATATACCCAGTAATGGGATGGCTGGGTCAAATGGTACTTCTAGTTCTAGATCCCTGAGGAATCGCCACACTGACTTCCACAATGGTTGAACTAGTTTACAGTCCCACCAACAGTGTAAAAGTGTTCCTATTTCTCCACATCCTCTCCAGCACCTGTTGTTTCCTGACTTTTTAATGATCGCCATTCTAACTGGTGTGAGATGGTATCTCATTGTGGTTTTGATTTGCATTTCTCTGATGGCCAGTGATCATGAGCATTTTTTCATGTGTCTTTTGGCTGCATAAATGTCTTCTTTTGAGAAGTGTCTGTTCATATCCTTCGCCCATTTGTTGATGGGGTGTTTGTTTTTTTCTTGTAAATTTGTTGGAGTTCATTGTAGATTCTGGATATTAGCCCTATGTCAGATGAGTAGATTGCAAAAATTTTCTCCCATTCCGTAGGTTGCCTGTTCACTCTGATGGTGGTTTCTTTTGGTGTGCAGAAGTTCTTTAGTTTAATTAGATCCCATTAGTCAACTTTGGCTTTTGTTGCCATTGCTTTTGGTGTTTTAGACATGAAGTCCTTGCCCATGCCTATGTCCTGAATGGTATTGCCTAGGTTTTCTTCTAGGGTTTTTATGGTTTTACATCTAATGTTTAAGTCTTTAATCCCTCTTGAATTAATTTTTTTTTTTTTTTTTCGAGACGGAGTCTTGCTCTGTCGCCCAGGCTGGAGTGCAGTGGCGGGATCTCGGCTCACTGCAAGCTCCGCCTCCCGGGTTCACGCCATTCTCCTGCCTCAGCCTCCCAAGTAGTTGAATTAATTTTTGTATAAGGTGTAAGGAAGAGATCCAGTTTCAGCTTTCTACATATGGCTGCCAATTTTCCCAGCACCATTTATTAAATAGGGAATCCTTTCCCCATTTCTTGTTTCTGTAAGGTTTGTCAAAGATCAGGTAGTTGTAGGTATGCGACATTATCTCTGAGGGCTCTGATCTGCTCCATTGTTCTATATCTCTGTTTTGGTACCAGTACCATGTTGTTTTTGTTACTGTAGTGTGTAGTATAGTTTGAAGTCAGGTAGTGTGATGCCTCCAGCTTTGTTCTTTTGGCTTAGGATTGACTTGGCAATTCGGGCTCTTTTTTGGTTCCATGTGAACTTTAAAGTAGTTTTTTCCAATTCTGTGAAGAAAGGCATTGGTAGCTTGATGGGGATGGCATTGAGTCTATAAATTACCTTGGGCAGTATGGCCATTTTCATGATATTGATTCTTCCTACCCATGAGCATGGAATGTTCTTCATTTGTTTGTATCCTCTTTTATATCATTGAGCAGTGTTCTGTAGTTCTCCTTGAAGAGGTCCTTCACGTTGCTTATAAGTTGGATTCCTAGATATTTTATTCTCTTTGAAGCAATTGTGAATGGGAGTTCACTCAGGATTTGGCTCTCTCTTTGTCTGTTACTGGTGTATAAGAATGCTTGTGATTTTTGTACATTGATTTTATATCCTGAGACTTCACTGAAGTTGCCTTCAGTTTAATGAGATTTTGGGCTGAGACGATGGGGTTTTCTAGATATACAATCACGTCATCTGCAAACAGGGACATTTGGCTTCCTCTTTTCCTAATTGAATACCCTTTTATTTCCTTCTCCTGCCTGATTGCCCTGGCCAGAACTTTGAACACTATGTGAATAAGAGTGGTGATAGAAGGCATCCCTGTCTTGTGCCAGCTTTCAAAGGGAATGCTTCCAGTTTTTGTCCATTCAGTGTGATATTGGCTGTGGGTTTGTCATAGACAGCTCTTATTATTTTGAGATACATCGAATATATACCTAATTTATTGAGAGTTTTTAGCATGAAGCATTGTTGAATTTTGTCAAAGACCTTTTCTACATCTATTGAGATAATCATGGTTTTTGTTGTTGGTTCTGTTTATATGCTGGATTATGGTTATTGATGTGTGTATGTTGAACAAGGCTTGCATCCCAGGGATAAAGCCCACTTGATCATGGTGGATAAGCTTTTTGATGTGCTGCTGGATTTGGGTTGCCAGTATTTTATTGAGGATGTTTGTATCAATGTTCATCAAGGATATTGGTCTAAAATTCTCTTTTTTCTTGTGTCTCTGCTGGCCTCATAAAATGAGTTAGGGAGGATTCCCTCTTTTTCTATTGAGTGGAATAATTTCAGAAGGAATGGTACCAGCTCCTCCTTATACCTCTGGTAGAATTCAGCTGTGAATCCATCTGGTCCTGTACTTTTTTTGGTTGGTAAGCTATTAATGATTTCCTCAATTTCAGAGCCTGTTATTGGTCTATTCAGAGATTCAACTTCTTCCTGGTTTAGTCTTGGGAGGGTGTATGTGTCGAGGAATTCATCCATTTCTTCTAGATTTTCTAGCTTATTTGCATACAGGAGTTTATAGTATTCTCTGATGGTAGTTTGTAATTCTGTGGGATTGGTGGTGATATCCCCTTTATCAATTTTTATTGTGTCTATTTGATTCTTCTCTATTTTCTCCCTTATTAATCCTGCTAGCGGTCTATCAATTTTCTTGATCTTTTCAAAAAACCAGCTCCTGGATTCATTGATTTTTTTGAAGGGCTTTTTGTGTCTCTGTTTCCTTCAGTTCTGCTCTGATCTTATTTCTTGCCTTCTGATAGCTTTTGAATGTGTTTGTTCTTGCTTCTCTAGTTCTTTTAGTTGCGATGTTAGGGTGTCAATTTTACATCTTTCCTGCTTTCTCTTGTGGGCATTTAGTGCTATAAATTTCCCTCTACACACTGCTTTGAATGTGTCCCAGAGATTCTGGTATGTTGTGCCTGTGTTCTTGTTGGTTTCAAAGAACATCTTTATTTCTACTTTCATTCCGTTATGTACTCAGTAGTCATTTAAGAGCAGGTTTTTCAGTTTCCATGTAGTTGAGTGGTTTTGAGTGGTGTTCTTAATCCTGAGTTCTAGTTTGATTGCACTGTGGTTTGAGAGACAGTTTGTTATAATTTCTGTTCTTTTACATTTGCTCAGGAGTGCTTTACTTCCAACTATGTGGTCAATTTTGGAATAGGTGTGGTGTGGTGCTGAAAAGAATGTATATTCTGTTGATTTGGGGTGGAAATTTCTGTAGATGCCTATTAGGTCCACTTGGTGCGGAGCTGAGTTCAGTTCCGGATATCCTTGTTAACTTTCTGTCTCGTTGATCTGTCTAATGTTGACAGTGGCATATTTAAGTCTCCCATTATTGTTATGTGGGAGTCTAAGTCTCTTTGTAGTCTCTAATTACTTCCTAGGTGCTCCTGTATAGGGTGTACATATATTTAGGATAGTTAGCTCCTCTTATTGAATTGATCCCTTTACCATTATGTAATGGCCTTCTTTGTCTCTTTCGATCTTTGTTGGTTTAAAGCCTGTTTTATCAGAGACTAGGATTGCAATCCCTGCCTTTTTTGTTTTCCATTTGCTTGGTAGATCTACCTCCATCCCTTTATTTTGAGCCTATGTGTGTCTCTGCATGTGAGATGGGTTTCCCGAATACAGCACACTGATGGGTCTTCACTCTTTATCCAATTTGCCAGTCTGTGTCTTTTAATTGGAACATTTAGCCCATTTACATTTAAGGTTAATATTGTTATGTGTGAATTTGATCCTGTCATTATGACGTTAGCTGGTTATTTTGCTCATTAGTTGATGCAGTTTCTTCCTAGACTTGATGGTCTTTATAATTTGGCATGTTTTTGCAGTGGCTGGTACTGGTTGTTCCTTTCCGTGTTTAGTGCTTCCTTCAGGGGCTCTTTTAGAGCAGGCCTGGTGGTGACAAAATCTCTCAGCGTTTGCTTGTCTGTAAAGGATTTTATTTCTCCTTCACTTATGAAGCTTAGTTGGCTGGATATGAAATTCTGGGTTGAAAATTCTTTTCTTTAAGAATGTTGAATATTGGCTCCCACTCTCTTCTGGCTTGTAGAGTTGCTGGTGAGCAATCATCTTTTAGTCTGATGGGCTTCCCTTTGTGGGTAACCCAACCTTTCTCTCTGGCTGCACTTAACATTTTTTCCTTCATTTCAACTTTGGTGAATCTGACAATTATGTGTCTTGGAGTTGCTCTTCTTGAGGAGTATCTTTGTGGCATTCTCTGTATTTCTTGAATTTGAATGTGGGCCTGCCTTGCCATATTGGGGAAGTTCTCCTGGATAATACCCTGCAGAGTGTTTTCCAACCTGGTTCCATTCTCTACGTCACTTTTAGGTACACCAATTAGACGTAGATTTGGTCTTTTCACATAGTCCCATATTTCTTGGAGGCTTTGTTCATTTCTTTTTATTCTTTTTTCTCTAAATTTCTCTTCTCACTTCATTTCATTCATTTGATCTCCATCACTGATACCCTTTCTTCCAGTTGATCGAATCAGCTACTGAGGCTTGTGTATTCGTCACATAGTTCTCATGCCATGGTTTTCAGCTCCCTCAGGTCCTTTAAGGTGTTGTCTGCATTGGTTATTCTAGTTAGCCATTTGTCTAATTTTTTTTCAAGGTTTTTGACTTCTTTGCCATGGGTTTGAACTTCCTCCTTTAGCTCAGAGTTCTTTGATGGTTTGAAGCCTTCTTCTCTCCACTTGTCAAAGTCATTCTGCATCCAGCTTTGTTCCGCTGCTGGTAAGGAGCTGCATTCCTTTGGAGGAGGAGAGGTGCTCTGATTTTTAGAGTTTCCAATTTTTCTGCTCTGTTTTTTCCCCATCTTTGTGATTTTATCTACCTTTGGTCTTTGATGATGGTGACGTACAGATGGGGTTTTGGTGTGGATGTCCTTTCTGTTTGTTAGTTTTCCTTCTAACAGTCAGGACCCTCAGCTGCAGGTCTGTTGGAGTTTGCTGGAGGTCCTCTGCAGACCCTGTTTTCCTGCGTGTCAGCAGTGCAGGCTGCAGAACAGCAGACATTGGTGAGCAGCAAATGTTGCTGCCTGATGGTTCCTCTGGAAGTTTTGTCTCAGAGGAGTACCCGGCCGTGTGAGGTGTCAGTCTGCCCCTACTGGGGGGTGCCTCCCAGATAGGCTACTCGGGGGTCAGGGACCCACTTGAGGAGGCAGCCTTACTGTTCTCAGACCTCCAGCTGCGTGATGGGAGAACCACTACTCTCTTCAAAGCTGTCAGACAGGGACATTTAAGTCTGCAGAGTGTTCTGCTGCCTTTTGTTTGGCTATGCTCTGGCCCCAGAGGTGGAGTCTATAGAGGCAGGAAGGCCTCCTTGAGCTTTGGTGAGCTCCACCCAGTTCAAGCTTCCTGGCTGCTTTGTTTACCTACTCAAGCCTCCTCCAGCCTCGCTGCTGCCTTGCAATTTGATCTCAGCATGCTGTGCTAGCAATGAGTGAGGCTCTGTGGGCATAGGACCCTCCAAGCCAGGCACAGGATATAATCTCCTGGTGTGCCATTTGCTAAGAGCATTGGAAAAGCACAGTATTAGGGCAGGAGTGACCCAATTTTCCAGGTGCCATCTGTCACCCCTTTCTTTGAGTAGGAAAGGGAATTCCCTGACCCCTTGTTCTTCCCGGGTGAGGAGATGACTCGCCCTGCTATGCCTCATGCTTGTTGCGCTGCACCCACTTCCTGCACCCACTGTCCGACACTCTCCAGTGAGATGGACCTGGTACCTCAGTTGGAAATGCAGAAATCACTCTTCTTCTGCATCTCTCATGCTGGGAGCTGTAGACTGGAGCTGTTCCTATTCGGCCACCTTGGCTCCACCCCCTCAAACTCTTAACTGATAGACTTGATGTCCATTGTCTTCCATATTCTGTTCCTGTTCATATAAATTCAACCTGCTTTAAAAATTATATTTGGTACTTAATGACTATAAGATAGACACTGTAAACCTGAGTATTCAAGGTGAATAAATCTGATCAGAAGCCAACTTCCAATCTAATCCAGAACTATATTTTTTCCACGAACTATGTCTAATCAGCCATGTTAAATTCTAAGTATGAAGGAAATAAAAATAGTGCATATATAGTTAA
This sequence comes from Homo sapiens, assembly GCF_000001405.40. Classification (NCBI taxonomy): domain Eukaryota; kingdom Metazoa; phylum Chordata; class Mammalia; order Primates; family Hominidae; genus Homo; species Homo sapiens. The sequence continues at coordinate 6,295,152 of NC_000024.10, forward strand.
AGAAACAGCATATTGGAAGCAGAGGTTTGGTGGAATCTAGTGAATGTCACAAATAAGTAGAGAGCCTAGGACAAACATTTAGGGGCTGAATTAAGTAGGAGCCAGTCAAGGAGAATGAGAGAAGTCAGTGAGGTAGGAAGAAAACAAAATTAAACTTGACTTTACAAAAGACAAGGGAAGAAGATGTTCAAACAAAGAACGGATGTCCAACTCTTTAAGAGTGATAGGTGACCATTAAATTGGAAATATAGAAGTCACTGATGACCTTGACAAAAGCAAGATCAGTGGAGTGGACAGACTGAAATCTGGATGGTTTAAGGAGTGATCAGAATTTTGAGAAAAAAAGTGAGTATCAACAACTCTTTTTTTTTCTCTTTTTCTTTTTTTTTTTTGGAGGGGGGATGGAGTCTTATTATATCACCCAGGCTGAAGTACAGTGGTGCGATCTCATCCCACTGCAACCTCTACCTCCCAGGTTAAAGCAATTCTCCTGTGTAACCCTCCACGTCTGGCTAATTTTTGTTGTATTTTTGTCTCAGTCCAAAATCTCCTTAAGCTGATAGGCAGCTTCACCAAAGTCTCAGCATACAAAATCAATGTGCAGAAATCACAAGCATTCTTATACACCAATAACAGACAAACAGAGAGCCAAATCATTAGTGAACTCCCATTCGCAATTGCTTCAAAAAGAATAAAATACCTAGGAATCCAACTCACAAGTGATATGAAGGGCCTCTTCAAGGAGAACTACAAACCACTGCTCAATGAAATAAAACAGGATACAAACAAATGGAAGAAAATCCCATGTTCATGGGTAGGAAGAATCAATATCATGAAAATGGCCATACTGCCCAAGGTAATTTATAGATTCAATGCCATCCCCATCAAGCTACCAATGATTTCTTAAGAGAATTGGAAAATACTACTTTAAAGTTCATACGGAACCAAAAAAGAGCCCGCATTGCCAAGTCAATCCTAAACCAAAAGAACAAAGCTGGAGGCAACATGCTACCTGACTTCAAACTATACTACAATCTACAGTAACCAAAAAAGCATGGTACTGGTACCAATCAGAGATATAGACCAATGGAACAGATCAGAGCCCTCAGAAATAATGCTGCATATCTACAACTATTTGTTCTTTGACAAACTTTACAAAAACAAAAAATGGGGAAAGGATTCCCTACTTAATAAATGGTGCTGGGAAAACTGGCTAGCCATATGTAGAAAGCTGAAACTGCATCACTTCCTTACACCTTATAAAAAATTAATTTAATATGGATTAAAGACTTAAATGTTAGACATAAAACCATAAAAACCCTAGAAGAAAACCTAGGCCATACCATTCAGGATATAGACATGGGCAAGGAGTTCATGTCTAAAACACCAAAAGCAATGGCAACAAAAGCCAAAATTGACAAATGGGATCTAATTAAACTAAAGAGCTTCTGCACACCAAAAGAAACTACCATCAGAGTGAACAGGCAACCTACGGAATGGGAGAAAATTTTTCTAATCTACTCATCTGACAAAGGGCTAATATCCAGAATCTACAATGAACTCCAACAAATTTACAAGAAAAAAACAAACACCCCATCAACAAGTGGGCGAAGGATATGAACAGACACTTCTCAAAAGAAGACATTTATGCAGCCAAAAGACACATGAAAAAATGCTCATGATCACTGGCCATCAGAGAAATGCAAATCAAAACCACAATGAGATAGCATCACACACCAATTAGAATGGCGATCATTAAAAAGTCAGGAAACAACAGGTGCTGGAGAGGATGTGGAGAAATAGGAACACTTTTACACTGTTGGTGGGACTGTAAACTAGTTCAACAGTTGTGGAAGTCAGTGTGGTGATTCCTCAGGGATCTAGAACTAGAAATACCATTTGACCCAGCTATCCCATTACTGGGTATATACCCAAAGGATTATAAATCATGCTTCTATAAAGACACATGCACACGTATGTTTATTGAGGCACTATTCATAATAGCAAAGACTTGGAACCAAGCCAAATGTCCAACAATGACAGACTGGATTAAGAAAATGTGGCACATATACACCATGGAATACTATGCAGCCATGAAAAATGATGAGTTCATGTCCTTTGTAGGGACATGGATGAAGCTGGAAACTATCATTCTCAGCAAACTATCTCAAGGACAAAAAACAAAACACTGCATGTTCTTACTCATAGGTGGGAACTGAACAGTGAGAACACATGGACACAGGAAGGGGAACATCACACACTGGGGCCTGTTGTGGGGTAGGGGGAGGTGGAGGGATAGCATTAGGAGATATACCTAATGCTAAATGATGAGTTAATGGGTGCAGCACACCAACATGGTACATGCATACATATGGAACAAACGTGGACGTTGTGCACATGTACCCTAAAACTTAAAGTATAATAAAAAAGTAAAAGAAAATAAAAAATAAAATAAAATATTAATCTCTCCAAAAAAAAAAAAAGAAGAGGGGGGTTTCACCGTGTCTGCCAGGATGGACTGCATCTCGTGATCCACCCACCTTGGCCTCCCAAAGTGCTGGGATTACAGACGTGAGCCACCGCCCACATCAACAATTCTTATAACAGGTTTTGCAGTGAGGAAAGCAGATAAATTAGACTGTAGATAGGGATTTAGGGTAAATAAGTATTTTATCATATTATTTTGAAGATGGCATTTTTTTAACATGTTTGAATGTTAACAGATATGATACAATACAGGAGAAACTGATGTTGCAAGAGAAATATGGTGCACCTGAAAGAGTAAAATCCTTGGGGAGTGAAGAAGAATGGGACCCAGTACAATTGTGGAACGACTGTCCCATCTCTTAGAAATGGGGACACTTTCTTGGTTTGAAATAAAGAAAAGGGGTATATTAACATCAGGCTTGGAGATGTCACAGTCAAAATATGGAGCAAGCTTCTTTTCATGGCTTCCTCCCATTTTCTCAGTGAGGTATACAATTGGAAACAATGAGATTGGGACAGGTGGGTATATAAAATTTAAGGAAAGGGAAGATATGAAAATGAGTTTAGAGATAGTGAAAAAGTGAACTTGCTATAGAAAAACAGTGGAAATTCCAGGAAGTATTGAGACTTAATTTGAGTTTTGAGAACAATTAAAGTTAAACTAGGGTGGCTGATGATTTGATTTTCTCCAGCTATGAAGAAAGGATAACTAATGTGCAGAGCAAAAATGGGACTTAACTTCATGATTTCTGACTCTACAATATTCTTTGGACTATACTATATTAATGGTATTTTCTTTTAAATTCACTACAAAAGTCATAGCTCAGGTTGTAACTGAGTAAAATATTTTCTTCAAATTAAAAAATATATATCCAAGTGGAGGATAAGCAGCAATACCTTTGGAAAGAAATTGAAAAGGCTTACAACATGAAACATTTGTAGCTTGTATGCTAATCAGCATATATTTCACTCCCTGTAAATATTGCAAAATATCCATATGCTTATGTTGCAAAATCCTTCTTGGAGCCTTGTAATAAGGCCAGTGGACCATGTTGTTAGGCACAATGTAACCGCTTTTATTCTTGGCCCCAAACAAAGGACAGCAGGCTGATAGTGTTAGAGCTAATTAGCACACTATTCATCTTGCCTTATGCTTAGAATGCCTAAAGGAATCTTCCTTTTTCTGGCTGATGATAAAACAGAATCAGTCTCTTTTGCTCTCTGATTTGAGTCATTTATCAATCATCATTCTGCAGACACACTGAGAAGCAAAGAATGTATACACATATACATGTTTTTGTTAAATGTTTTATGGGGTTATATATGTTTTTTAGCAGGCGTGTGTCTGTGTGTGTGTGTGTGTGTGTGTGTCTGTGTGTGTGCTTGGCAACACAATATAATGAAAAGAAAAGTGGGAGGGGTTGAGGAAAGCGAAGTCTGGAAACTGAGTACAGCTATTCCTGGAGAGACAGAATGGTGTAAAATTAAAAGCATGGGCTCTGGAGTCAAATTTCTTGGCCTGAATCCTGGCTCTGACACTTATTAGCCACATGGCCCTGGCCAAGTTACTTACCTTCCCTGGACCTCAGTCACCTTATTTGTTGCATACAAATAATAGTAGTACTTAAAATAAAAAGTTGTTGAAAGAATTAAATGAGTTGATGTTTGAAACTCTAGTATTTACCAGCTGGTGATCCTGGGAACATCATTTAAATTCTTAAGTTTCAATGTCCTTACAGTAAAAATACCTCCAAAGCCTCCTCTGTTTTGCATTTTTTTTTTCCCTTTCACAGATTTTACATTTTCTGGTATTTTGGCAACAGATTCATGGTTACATAATATTGTATTAGTTACAAAATTTCCTCTACCTTTACGCAGATTAACTAGACTTCAGTTGCACTAATTAAGAGAGCATTAGCTGAGTCAAACGATAATAGATAAGTTATAATTGATGTCAAAATTCTACCTCATTATATTACCTTCCAAATCATATCCCAAGTTTTCTTCTATTTTGAGAAACATCACTCTACATACACATAGAACAAAGATTGATTTTGCAGATTAGCATGATTTTAATAGAGCAAATTCGACCTTCAAATCTGATAAGCACTTTCCAATCCATAAAACACTGTCAGAAAAAAACTGTCTATCAGGTTAGACACATTTCACAGAGCCTATGAAGTTGCAAATCACTTATGCCTCCCTCTTGTGTTACCAAGATAACGTATAGCACTACATAGTGTTTCTTAGCTTGAAAGAGCTTAGGAACTTAATTAATCCCTAGACTACCTAGTGAGAGAGTGGTAAGAAGCCCCTTGAAGAGATCATTTAACTACATAATTCACTCTTGCTTAAATGTAATTCAGCATATGTGTCATGTTGTGTTCTACTAGCTTTCTATTTCAATCTTCAGAGAAATAATATTTATGTGTGAATGTATGATGCATAGGCAACTATTATGAACAAAATTATGTAGACTGCACTCTGTCTGCCACTAAAAGCTAACAGATATATGTACATCCAACACATTAAAAAAATCTGGTACATTCTGCTGGATTTTCTTTTCTTTTCCATTTTATATCTCATTTTCAGGTATTTCACAGTGGCCTTCTTAGATTTGAAAAGGCTAAAAATTTTAAATAAGGAATATACAATTCTCTTGTTAATTTTTATAATTACTTTAATTTTTTGGAAAGTGTATTAAAAGTAAATGTTTATAGATGAATATAAAAGAATATCGTATGTGAACACTTCACCCAAATGAAAGAATATTTATTTATTCTATTTAGAATTCTCTCTAGTAGGATTTCCTTCTCTGCAGGTAGCTGGCTACAGGGATCTACCAAAACAAATCTATTTCTGCAGTAAATACCAACACTTGGTTACTCAGGAAATAACTCTTTCAGTCTGCAAAACACTACATATCTTTTCCCTGAGCAGGATAAATTCTTATACAGTTTTACTGTTCTACTAAAATTTCAATTAAAGTTAACCATTTTCATTTTTATTGCAAATAAAATCTGGTTACTTTCTAATTACTTGCCCGAAATCTATTCTCTATAACTTTCTAAAATTACATAGACATACACACACCCATACAAAAGAAACAGTACAACTGGAAGAATAACCAATGTGTGCATGTGTTCTGTTTTAAAAAAATTTCTACTGTACTATTTGCATTAAGGTTATAGTTGTAATTCAATCAATGACCCATTTTAAATGAGTGGCTAGGACATCACTGGAGAAAGTGGGTGCAATGCAAGAAACATTTCCCTATGCATTCACTTTATTTGTAAATACATTTATACTGTATAGTTGAAGTGGTTAACTTTGTCGTCAAAGACTGATACTGGCAAAAGTTTTGTTTCTTAATATGCTCTTCTTTAATTTTTTCCAGAATGTTTCAAAATGTCATTCATATATTTATTCTAATTTCTTCTGGGAATAGATAGCTAAAGAAAAATGGAGAAAACCATTTTTTCCTATAAGTTTATCATCTCTTGAGTGTCAAACTTGTCATGAAAGGAGAGATGCATCTGCTGCTCTTACTTTAAGACCAGACTTTCCACCAATAGATTATAAATGTGAAAATATCTGCCTACTTAAAGCCACTGTTCTGAAGAAAACACTATTACAGTCTGAGATTGAACCCTAAGGATTGGCCTTGGGAACTTTGAGATTTTGGTCAACTAATTTCTAAGCTAATTTCTAAGGATGATCTCAGTTGCAAGAGTTATTGACTCTTTAGTCAAACACTCTATCACAGAAAATCTAACCTTGTGGGCCATTTGGTTATGAGACGGTAAAAAATAATAAAAATATTACTGGGATGCAGATAGCCAGTACTATAGCTCTTCAAGGAAAAATACTCTCAGTAACAATATGAAAGTTTGTCTGAATTTCTATTTCCACACTATGATTATTATGCCACATTTTGTAGCATTTCTGTAAATTATTTCTGGTTTTGAAAATCTTTACTTTTGAATGAGGATTTGTCTTTAAAAATTAATATTGTTCCATAGGACCATTTGCTTGTATAAATTATGCAACATTTTATGGGAGCTCATACATGGACATCTCATAGAAAGCAAGTGATGAGACAGATGTTTGAGATGCATTAGGGTGGATGAAGCGGAAGCACTGTTTCTACTCTCTGGGTCTCTCACTTCCAATAAGACAAACTACAAAATAATTTCATATAAGAGTTTAAAAAAGAATGACTCAATCTGTTGTGTCTGATTGTTGTTTTGTATCCCATAAACACTTTATGCTATATCTAAGACTTAAGGTGTTTTAAACATTAGATATTGTCTTTAGGACACCAAGTGGAGGCAGGGCAACACAAGCAGGTGCTGCCTGGGGGATCTTATCTAATGAAAGAAGTCAGCAACAGGCAGCTGAAAGGGTAGTGGTCCAGTGCCAGGTGTTTAGCTGAGACTTGTATAAGTTTCTCAGAAACTCTCACAAGTATCTGAGGGAAATGAAACTGGTTTACCAATGCTCTTTTAAAAAAATCAGCTAAAGAACATCCTATAGTGTCCTGAGGAGAAAAGTGAGCAAGGCACATAATTTGAGATAGGAAAAATAGTAGGTGATTGCAGGAGCATAGAAAATCTCAGACAGGTGTTTCACATGACTAGCAAATATACACTGTTAAAATAGCCACATAAAGTAGGAGATGATAAGACTGTGGAAAACCAGGGTGTGGGCAAATCTGGCTAGGAACAGCTGGTTGAAATTCAACATGGTGTGGAATTTCATCTAGGTTTCGCCTTAGAGAAAATAGCCAAAAATTCACTGCTACTACCATGCAGCTCTGCTACTACCATGTAGCAGAGCAACTAATCAAAGGCAGCAACTGCCTAACTATGGCTGGTTCACATGTGAAAAACAGAAATCCCTTTTTGTTTAATTCATGCTTACTTTTTTCTGCTATATGAAGTAAAACACATTCCTTAATGACAACATGTTTCATTTTCTATCTTACTCTTCACCATTTATTTTCTTCTCACATTACTTATAATTTGTAACTTATTTTGTCAAATATATGAAATGAGGTAACACGGCAGTATTATAGAAAGCACACTGCATTGAAAACAGACTTATATTGAAACGGGAAAACATCGCTTTTACCCTTCCCAATGGAGCTTGCAATGAGGACAGGTTGTGGGGCTCTGCTCCCAGGCAGTGTCTAGGGATGAATGTTCACAGATCTGGAATTGCCAGAGGTCATGTGTTACATGGTGTTATTTTAGTTTATCCATCCGTAGGTGGCTTGAGTTAGTCAGCTCCATCAGACACCCTGCCTTACTGCAAACACAGAGGGCTATCTGAATCCCGGGGTTTCTTGCCTTGGTGTACCTGAAGAATTGGCTCCCACGTGGGCTTGAAGAATAAGTGCCAGGTTTCATTGAGTGGATGCTCTCAGCAGATAGATGGGGACCCACAAGGGAGATGGAGCAGGAAGGTCGGTTTCCCTTGGAATGGGGCAGCTCTGGACTCTCTTCCCACAGCCCCATGGGACTCCATGTTCTTCTGAGGTGGATGGCCTGCCACCTCTGTCCTTGTGCTTTCCTTCCTCTGGTGTCTTCTCAAGGTCCAGTTGCTGCGTCTTTTTCTGCTGATGGTTCCTCTCGACATCTGCGGCTATGTCACTGCCTGCTAGGGTCTCCAGGTTTCTTATATCACAGGATGGAGGTGTAGCAGGCCAGGGTGGTCTTGGGAAATGTTCCTCTCAACATCTGCGGGTATGTCACTGCCTGCTAGGGTATCGGAGTTTCTTATATCACAGGATGGAGGTGTGGCAGGCCAGGGTGGTCTTGGGAAATGCAACATTTGGACAAGAAAACAGAAGTGTTTGTCCTCACCTATGTGAGTGAACACAGGTCTGAGGGTGGAGCCCTAACCAAGGACCATGCCCTCCCCTACCCAGCACTTCTCTACCCCCTTCCATATCAATAGTTTTTATTTAAGTCTCCAAAAATGATACCCAAATTCTTTAGAGAAGACAATTGGAGGAAATAGCATTAGAATATTCTAGGATTAGGGTCACTAAATAGAAAATGAAAACAGAGAGCATGTCCTGCAGGCCATGGAATCACTGCAGAAACATATCCCCTGCTGAGAAGGAGAGGGACACACACTGGCTTCTCTAGTCTTCTTGTTCTCTAGTCTCTTCACTGTCACCCCTCAACTGAATTGAAACAGGAAGTAATTTTTATGGGAGCCTAGGAACCATGACTCACAGAGGCCAGGCCTCTCTATTACAGAGCAGTGCCAGGAGATGTGATTGATGTATCTGTGGGCATATAAACCCATAATCAAGGCTGACATCTGGGGGTGGTTCGCAATCTTGATTTAGGTCAAAGAGGCTTTAGATGCCATGGAAGGAAAAGCTAGAAACAACAGGGAAGAAGGCCTAAGAGCACCCAAAGGCAGGGGTATGGAATTTATCAGATCTGCTTCCATGTATGACCTCCCTTTCCCCTCTCCCTCCCCCTGAATTAAGGACTCTTGGGTTCACGGAGAGTATGTAATTCTGAGGCTGACTGCACTGATATTGGGAGGGGAAATTTGCAGAGAGTTCCTGGTGTCTAAGGAGTGGCAGAATCTGCTTATACCCAAAGACTCCCAGTCTCAGATCAGACTAGTAAGGGGGAGCAATCACACACCCTTAACAATATCTTGATTCACAGAAAAACCTGTTCTGGTGAGAACTCGCTTCTGCTCTTCAAAAAGATGCCCCAAACGTCTGATGCTCAGCATCACGAAGGGTTTCTCCGCTGCATGCAGGAAGATAGTACCCGCCTCTGCTCCGGCTTTTTACAGCCACATGTGTCCGTGGCAACCCACGTTTCTTCCCCAAATGGTCACATCGACGCCGAGCTGCCCATCAGTTACTTACACTTCCCCAAGAGCACCTCTCAACTAGATAGGCAGAAGAAACACTGAAAATGATGCAACACTGGCCCAGAAGCCAGGGATGCTCTGGATGATGGCGCCTCTGCGGTCCAGCTGGGGCTTGCGCCTCTGCTCCATCTTTCTCCTCTCCTGAGAAAAGGTATTCCTGGCTCGGGCATTAACCAGCTCCAGCCCCACCTGAACGACCAGCAGCTCCACCAGTGCAGACTCTGGGGTCATGGGCCCAGGGCCAGGCTGTGCCCGTTGGTCCTCCTCCTGCAGCTCCACGTCGGCCTCCTCCTGGGCCACCACCTTCGTCTCCGCCATTATGTTGTCTAACAGCAGCACAACTCCTCCTCCAAGGCTGCCTCCCCGCTCTGCGCACCGGGAGCCCCCTCCTGTACAGCCTCCATCCTGAAGACAGTGCCCTTCTCCGGACTCCCACAGACCACCGCCTGTGCTGCCTGACCCACACCACAGGAACCCTGCCGCTGCCCTTACTGGAGCCTGTGGGTCGGAGGGCCCTCAGGGCGCATGCACTGGGCTCCAGGCTCCCCCAACAGACTTCAGGCAAACGGCGCCAGGAGCCGCGCCAACACCACCCGCCTCCCCCCGCGGTCAATCAGTCGGAGGGCGGTGGGCGTCTCCCTGGGCGGCACCAACCCAGGTTGGCCTGCAGTCCCAGCCTCCTGGGGTAACCCTCCTCTGAAAAGCCCTTGGAGCTTGTGCCAGGTAGCGCTGCGTCCAGGCACACGTGGGCTGCGTGGCCTTTGGAATTGCGGGCATGGGAGACCTGTGCCCTAACTGACATCCTGAATGTGGCAAATCATTGACCCACAAGGAGCACATGAAACATCTCATTTCATTAGGCAAGCCAGGTAGATGATACGGAATATTGCAGATCCAGAGGAGAACTCTCTCTGGCTGCTGGGGCGAGGGCAGTGGGGGTGGCCTGGGGAAAGTGGGTCGGGGCCGACGCTAGGGAGGAAAGTAGCCGGGTTATGCTTGGGTGGAAGTCGTCGCCTCTAGAGGCCAGAACCCCGGCAAGCGCTCTCGCAGGTCGAGGCAAATACAGGCTCCGCGTACCATGCTTCCTCCGTGAGGATGCTGTACTCCGGGGAGCATTCCAAAGTGCCTCTCGTCCTATGCCCTAGGCACACCGGAGACCAGCCGCCAGGTTGGCCGTCGATATCCTGCGTGCACACAATTGTGCGCTGCCTTGCAGACCTAGAGGCTCCCGCACGTGCAGCAGCGGCTGCGGTGCCTGCTGGTGGGGCTCTGCAAGCCCAAGGCCTTGGGCTGTGGCTCCTGAGCTCCTGTGCGCAGTTGACCCTGCTGGGGACCTGAGCCCCAGGTCAAGTGCGGCGATCTGCGGGCCCAGCCGGGCTTTTCAGGAAACCTGCGTCTACGTACCTGTGGGACTAGGTTCTCAGCAGGGCGAGGTCTGTGGGCCTTCCGGGGAGCGGGCCTCCTGGGGAGCGGCCCCAGAGCCTAGTGGTGCCGGGGATGGGCTGGGCTGCACAGACCGGGGTCTGCGGGAGTACCCAGGAGGGCACAGTGTTCAGGCGGGAGGCTCTGCTGGAGAGGACGGCCCGGGTACAGAGCAAGGAGGCGGCCTTGAAAGAGGAGGCGGTGCTGATGGTGGAAGACATAATGGCTGAGAAGGAGGTGGTGGTTAAGGAGGAGACCAATGTGTAGTGGCAGAAGGAGGACCAGCGGGCACAGCCTGGCCCTGGACCCAGCAGAACCGGGCCGTGAATGGACTCTCTGGAGGTCCTTCACTTGCAGCTGGGCTGTGAATGGGCCAGGCCACAGGGCGTCTCCGGCTTCTGGGACAGAGCCATATCCTTGCAGCTGTCCATTCGGTATTGCTGGCAGCAGGGGATGGGCATCAGGCTTCGGGGTGGGGGGCATGGGGGCTGGGTTGGGGGAGGAGCCAGGAGGGAGGCGTATGGGGTGAGCCAGGAGGCAGGGGATGGGGCACAGGTTGGGAGCGGAGGCCAGGTTCCTGCAGATAGGAGGCTAGCTTGCTTGTGGGAGCCCCGGGAGCACGTGGTAGGGAAGGGAAGCCAAGCACAGTACTCACAAGGAGGAATCTCGGCGCCAAGGGTCCTTCACTCACAGCACAAAGTTAAGGGGCACGTTTCCCTGGGAAATGCCCTGGAGGAAGGGGAGTCTGCAAGCTCGGGCCAGCTAATGAACCACCCCCGCTTTTAGTGCCTGTTTCCACCAGGCTCACCCCAGAAACACAAGGTGCTAAAGACTCGAGTTTGTGGTGCATGGGGCTGCTGACCTCCTCAAGGCAGGTACCAGCTCCCCAGATAACGCTTTCTTTCCCCTGCGGGCGCTGCACCAAAAGAGGTGTAGGCCCCGAGCATATATAAACTCCTTTGCACCCACACAATTCCCATGGGGAGCACCAGGCAAAATCCTGCAAGCTCCTTCTACCTACAAGGCTTCCCTCAAGTGGACAGGCACACCCTCAGGGAGTCCAGGATAAGAGGACACCACACACCCAGATATCAGCAGAGCATGTCCAGAACCCAGCACACAAGGGCCTCCTGCAGCTCATGAACCCTGAGGAAGCAGACACCTCATACCACCCTGCCTTCCCCCATCCCTCCCTCAGCCAAAACCACCTGCCCACTCATTCTGCTTCCTGTCCCTGGTCAGTGCAGGCCAGCTTGGCCTGGCTCCACCCAACCAAAAACCACCACAGTCGTGGTGTTGCCTTCTTGCCAAAGACAGGGGATCAACAAGAGAGGGTGACAGGCCAAATGTCTGGAAGATAGCCCTGCTCCACATTCTCTGTGATCTTGCAAAATTGCAGGGTGTCACCACGCTTGCCCAACCAATCATCTGGAGGCTCCTTGACCAGAGGTAGATTGCTTGGCAAGCCCAGATGTCGGCCTAGGTCAGAAACCATGATGAAGTCCTGCTTTGCTACATGATGGATTTGCAGGTCAGGGTGGGGAGCCTGGGTCTGTGGGAGTGGTCCAGTTTCTGAGTCAGTTTGAGGTTCCCCTGGGGCCTGGGGCTGTCTCAGTGGCAGAGCTGGAAAGGGGAAACTCATCCTTTACTCCAGATGGCAGCCCACTTCAGCCCAGCTAGATGAAATGGTCCCGTTGAGTCCATCCTCTTTCTTCTTCTTGATCAGACAGGTGGAGGAACTCAGTCATCCTGGTTACCGGCGGCTGGATGAAATTTCCTTTCATCACAACCTTTACTTCCACAATGAAGTTATCATTAAGGAATACTTCTTTGGCATCCTGGGTAAGAAGTGCCTCTCAGCATGGTAAGGGAGCTGGTGTGTGAGAGGGTAAGCCTGTCATGAACCTCCCTGACTCCTCTCCCTGCAGGGTACAGGGTGTCTCATTCCACTGCAGTCCAGTGGGATCATGAAGGTCAAGCCTCCAGCTGTAGGCAGAACATTGCCTACCTGAGCTTGTTCAGCTGTTTGGCTGAATATGACTGCCTGGGTTTTGGCAGGATTGCTGAGGTGGGGTCCGTGGTGGGGCATCATGGGAAAGGACCTTGCTGCTCATTCCTTGGCCTCTTGGGAATGGGCTTTGAACTGTGACCTGACCTGTTGTGGACCCCTTCTGCAGTTCCCCAGATCATTAGCCAGGGCCTATGGCTCAATCCATTGGAGTTCTACCCCAGGGAGTGAGGGACAGCATTAGAGAGGGAACAAAGAGGAGGCCAGGTGAGCAGCCTAGGTCTGGGAACTGAGAGGCCTTCGAGTCATGGATCTGTACCCTGCATGGAGAACTCAAGGATCATGGAGAAGACTGCAGTGAGCAATCCCAGGCCAACCATCGGTTTGGGAAGAAAGGCCCATCAGGGAACTGTAACACCCACATTTTAGGATTGGGGAACCCTAAGCCATCGACAATGCATATGTGTCTAATGTCAGTGAGAAGCAGGGCTTAAGGGATAGCTGTCTCATCATCACTCACCAGCTCCCTCCCCTGCCTTGAGGCCTGCTGCCACCTGGGGCTCAGATTGAGCTCAACCAGGGCCCTCTCCCTCTCCAAGCAGATGTGCACCTGAGGCCAATCTAGGTCTACACCCTTTCAAAATGTTTCTCCCAGGCCTGTCATGTTCTGTTTTAATGACCCCAGGCACCCCTGACATGCATTCTCCTCTCTGCCATCCTCACTTGCACTCCCACTGCCCTTCCTTCCCAGATAAGACAGGCCACTGTACAGGGAATCTGGAGGACCACACTGGGCTCCAGTGTGAGGAAATGTTCTATTTTCTGAATGTACATGTATTTTAGAGCTTCCTCCAGGGCTGTAAATGTGAAGAGATTACAAAATAGATGTGGACCTTCAGTGTGTGTCCAGGGAGGGAACCTGACTGGGAATTAAGGCCCACCTGAGTAATGGTGTGGATATCCAGTGTCAGTTATCTTGATAAAGACCTGCTTTGTTACATCACCTACTATTAATATAAAAGTTAATTTCTTAGAATATTGAAAAAGCCAATTTAAATACAAAGAAAAATGGTTTGTTCATAATTGTATGCAAAACCTGCGGAAGGATCCATTTTCCATTACAAATCTTATGTGAGACTTGAAGTATTTATCAAGGTTTAAGATACATTTTTATTGTTCTACTCTTGGCAAATTTTATGATCATTTTTGCAATACAGGAACATGGGCTCTAGAAAGTTTTTGAGGGACTTTCAGCTTCTTTTAGAGTACTTAGTTGTAAATTTTGAATGGTTTTCCCCTGTGGTTCTTTTCAGTTTACTATTTGTACTTTATATGCAAAGTGTTAAATTTGTTTTCTTATCTGCCCATTCTGGAACTTTTGTTTTCAAGAATTTTTTTTTTTCTGTTAGATATGTGAGTTTCCTGTGAGCACTTTTTCTAAAACAGATTTTTTTTTATTCGTTTGTGTGTGTGTGTGTGTGTGTGTGTGTGTGTGTGTGTGTGTGTGTGTTTTGAAATGGAGTCTCACTCTGTCACCCAGGCTGGAGTGAAGTGGCATGATCTCGGTTCACTGAAACCTCTGCCTCCCAGGTCCAAGCAATTCCCCTGCCTCAGCCTTCTGAGGAGCTGGGATTTCAGGTGCATGACACCAGGTCCAGCTAACTTTTGTACTTTTAGTCGAGACTGGGTTTCACCATATTTGCCAGGCTGGTCTTGTACTCCTGACCTCAAGTGATCTGACCACATAAGCCTTTTCAAAATGCTGGTCTTCCAGATGTGTGCCACCACACCCGGACTCATTTGTTGTTTACGTATTTTAATCCTTGATCTATTTTCTTCATGTACACATATTTTAGAGTTATTGAAATCATATATTTTACTTACTTAATACTTTAGTAGGATTTTAAAAGTCATGTCTTCATTCACTAAATACAGTATTGTGAATAGGTTAAACCTTGTATAGTATTGTCATTCTGACTTCCATAAATTATTCAAGAACTCTGATACTGTTTTCTCCCACCTGAGAAGAACATGCAGATAGTTATAAAAAATTGTGTGAGTGGGTAGGTATGAGCATTTAATTTGAAGGAATAGTAAAGTTCACAAACACAAGTTCACATTTGTATTTTGCATCACTTTGAAAATTTTATTTGCTGACATATGAAATTCTGTATTCGCCCTCATGTTAAATATACACTTTTGAATCAATTTCAAGAATGAAAATAATCCAAGGCCAAGCATTAGTTCAGGAAGTAAGTAGAAAGCAGTTGTTATGTAGAAAAAGCATATTTATTGAAGGTATATTTAGAGAGATTTTAGGAGGCTTAAGTCAATATTTTGTTTTTATTGCTCTGGTGTTTTATCATACTATGACCAGACTCTAGCATCACTAGTTATAGTCACAAGGCTACGAAAGTCTCAGAGGTGCAGTAATTATTATTGAAGTAAGTGGCACTGTGGTTGGCTGCTTAAGGAGACTAGAGGACTTAGGAGTTTACACCCAAGGCATAAAGGCCTAGTTTAGTGGGTGGCCTTCTTTTGCTGAAGTAGATATGACCCAGGAGAGGTGTGAACTCACTGTAGTAGCTAGGGCTTTGAGACTATTGAAGCTTATTTGTCTCCAACTGCCATTGCCAGATATTGGTCTACAAATAACGGCACTTCCTAGACTCACTGACTCCTGTAAATTCAAACGTAGAATTTGGATTTAAATCCCTATTCCAACTTCTTAAACTTAGATCTAATAAATGGATAAAAAATATGCATTCAGAAGAAAGTGAGACATCAGGTAACTACATAAGTAAATCATCCTGATGAAATACATTCAAAAGTATTACTACAAAAAATCACTGAAGATTAAACTTTAAAAAAGTTATTTAATTAGGGAAATAGGAAAAGGTTAGACTCATTTTAAACTCTGAGGTGTAAAGATACTATTATTAGAATATGAGAATTATATAAAATGTCTAATTTGTTTCAAGGGCAGCATGCCAGCAATTTAGCATGGCTAGAGATTAGTGACCCATGTAAGAAAACTCAGAGATTAACAACAAAGTGTTTTCAGAGATTTTTTCTGCAATTGAAGACTTTTAAAATGGTTTCCTGTTAATCAATGATTCACTTAAATTTATCATTTAGGCATATGCTGTATACCCTTGTATATAGGAACAAAGTTATAGTTTCTATCACTATAGAACTACTATAAAACTAGTTACTATAGTTTTATAGTAGCTAGAAAAAAAATTTTTGACTGTGTACCACATTTGCATTAGAGTCTTTGGCCTCAGTAACAAAGCAAACAATGGAGCTGCCTATGTCAGAATCCAGGTGGGCACAGATGGAAGCTTGCATTAGTTGCGTCTTTAACATTTCTGGATTCTCATAAGTCTCCCCTAGAAAGAAAAATGGAGTATAGCTATCCTATAGAACATATTTTACAATTAAACACTAAGTATTGAGATAAAACCATGAATTGTCTATCACTGTATCATTATTACTTTAAACTTGTATGTATAACTTATAGAAAGAAATTCAGTTTATAGCCAATAATTTCATTCTCTTTCTAGTGACTTCATTTTTTTTTTTTTTTTTTTTTTGAGATGGTGTTTCACTCTGTCACTCAGCCTGGAATGCAGTGGCCTGATCTCACTGCAACTTCCACCTCTTGGTTTCAAGCAATTTTCCTGACTCAGCCTTCTAAGTAGCTGGGATTACAGGCACACACCACCACTCCTGCCTAATTTCATATTTTTGGTAGAGATGGGTTTTCCCCATGTTGGTCAGACTGGTCTCAAACTCCTGACTTCAGGTTATTCGCTGGCCTCAACCTCCCAAAATGCTGGGAGTACAGGCATGAGCGACGACACCAGCCCCCTCTCTTTTTTTCTGAGACAAGTTATTGTGTGGTCACACAGGCTGGAGTGCATTGGCACCACCTTCACATGCTGCAGCCTCAAACTCTCAGTCTCAAGCTATCTTCCTGTCTCAACCTCCCACGTAGCTGGGACTACATGTGTGCAACACCACACCAGGCTATTTGTTGTTGTTGTTGTTGTTGTTCTTTAGTGATGAAGCCTTGCTATATTGCCCAAGTGGGTATCAAATTCCTGGGCCCAAAGGATTCTCCTAGTTCAAGCTCCCAGAGTGCTAGAATTATAGGAGTGAGCCACTGCGGACAGCATCATCACTCTTTAATCACTTTCTAAATGCCACTCTTCAAAAGTAACAAGTAAATTTTACTTATGAAATTCTAAACGCCAAGTCAAGTTCAGTTTAATTTTCATAAAGAGGGAAAAACAAAACAAACAAAAAAACTCCTTTTTCCTTTGTTTTGAAGTCAGCAAAGAGTTGGAAAGCAAATCATCTCTACTTTAGTTTACAAAATTGACTGTACAGGGAAAGATCCTCATGTAATTGTTTTCGGATCTAAAATCCTATGAAGTTATCATCAGAGCCATCATCTTATAAAATGAAAACAAATCTCCTATTGGGTCTCTTATGTGGATTAAATATCTTACACTTAGTAATATATACAATTGTGATTGTACTTCTTCCTTGAACCATAATATTAAAAATATGAACCTCATTTTTTAGAACTGCTACCCAAATAAGAAAACTAACCACTGACCTGGTGTAATAATTTGTGGCCCAGAGAGCCGGCATGCTGAACTATTCAGGTTCTTCAGATAGCCCAAGGGGGCTAAGAGCCAAATGGGAGTCTGGACATCTTGGAGGAGTAGTAATGCCAGGTCATTCCTTCTGCCCCACTGACCAACTGGAACCTCTCATGCAATAGAATACTAGACACCTTCACAACTCTCAATAATGCCCCACGGTGCCTCAGGCCCAGAATCACAGCGGTGTCTTCAGGATTCCTGTGTGCATAGGCAAAGATTTATTGTGGTACATTCATTAGAAAACCTGAACCTTACACGTACATCAGGCTTTCTAGCATATTTTTTAGTCATGATACACAAGGTCCCTAGCTCATCTTCAGAGAAATCAGAAATATATGAATAAATCCCACAGACAATGGGATTGCAGAGGAATTAACTAACAGAGGTACTAGTAAGCCACAGTAAAGCAATTTCTTTTCAGCCTAAAACAAAAATGATATCTGTAGAAGTGAGATGGTCATGCATTATTGAAGTGAATTTGGACACAGAAACCTTCAGCAATGTAATTATAGGATAATGAATTACAGGGTATTGGAAGAGGCAGGCACAATCTTACATGTTCCTGACATAGTGGGCAGCTGTGAGAACCCAAGAGCTACTAACTACGGAACCACTGCAGACCTGACTGCCACAGCTGATGATCCCAGCCTACCAAGGCATGGCATATTGCAGAGAAATCTGATCTGCTGAAGCTGAGGAGAAAAATAAGCTAATGTGCTAATTTGAATAGAATTGCCATCTGTAGACCATTATTTAAAGTTTTAAATCCCTCCTATTTCTGCTAACCAAGTCAGCATTGAGAAATATGACTAGCAAGGACAAACTTCTACCTCTTTTGTGTTTATGCATTTTTCTTGAAAATAAGTGTTCTTATTATCTTTCCAAGATCATAGTTTCTTTATGTCCTAGCTTAAGTTTCTTTAGTCAAAATACTGGGAGTCATTCCAGCTTTCTCCCCCATTGCAACATTTATTTATCTATGATTTTAGCTACTTAGAAGTCATTGAAGTAGATAGGCAACAAAAAATGCAATGATTTGAAGCTATTAGATAAATAGTGAAAAATCTGGAGATAAAGCACCTGTCTCTAAATTAGAGAGGGCTTATCTTCATAAACGTATAGTGTTCGTGAGATACCAATCCAATAGTTTAAATAGAAAATTCAAGTTTGAGTTTCAGAAAAGAGCTTATATTTTTGAAATGATTTTAGAGTTCCTCAGAAAATTGAGTTGAAGCAATGCTCCTGAATATATATAGAGAGATAACCTGTCTATAGAAAGGGTAAGCAAGTAGAGATGAAATTAGAAGCATAACTAATATCTTACATGTAGTTTTCTTTGAATTAGACTTGGAGGATGTGAGCAAATAATTATGGCCTCCTTTATGTTTTAAATATATTATTCACTGTAGCTATAGAAATAGGGGTAGCTATAAAATAGCTGTGGTTAAATGCACATTTAATTCATGAGACCAAAAGAGATCCCTCAATTTCCAAGGAAATAATATTTTGAAGGATGGCCGGAAGTAACTTTTGGTGTTCAAGATATTCCTTCTTCTCCCTGGCATTCACACCCCATGAATTTGTCAACTTACAGCCAGGCTCCCACGTAGCTTTCTTGGCCTCCACACAAAAAGTGAATTCATTTAGTTTTGGGCAAAATTGGTTACAAGTGCTGACTTGTAGGATGCTCAGGTGCTGTTTCTGCATAATTCCAGGACTCCTTGATAGAAAACAGAGAAGAGGTTTTTGTGTTTGTTTTCATACTTAGCCTAGATTAGAGAGAGAATATGGTGAAGAGAAAGACAAATACTTTATTATTCAAGAGAGAATAATATTCTCTTTCCAAACATGCTTCTCTTTCATCCCACTGTCTTCTTCATTACTCAGCCCACATAAGGGACCAACTAGATAGCCAACAGTCATATAGTTGTATAAATTTCTCCTGTTCCAGACTTTCCTTCAGGCATATAGGAAGGACCAGGGGTTGAAAATATGGTGGCTGCTTCAGGAAGATCAACCCAGGTCACAGAATCACTTGGAACCTAGGTAGGGTATGGCACAGTCAATGCTGACAGTCTGAGCTTGGGCAGAATCTAGAAGATGATTAAGCTCCACTTGGACCAGGGCCAGGGCTGCTGAGTTTTTTCAGGGGAAAAAAAAGTCAAGAAAAAGTCTTATTATTTCTACATTTCAATTTGAATAAAGCCCTGGAGGTCACGTGAATCAGATGAAGTCCAGGTAAGCACTAAAGTACAAATACTCCTTTAGAAACTATTTTCAAGGATCATTTGAGACCAGGTAGGCAACATGATAAGACTTTATTTCTGCTGAAAAAAAATTAGCCAGATGCAATGGTATGTGCCTGTGGTCCCATGAACTCAGGAGGCAGAGGTGGGAGAACTCCTTAATCTTGGTAGTTTGAGGCTACTCTGAATCACGCCACTGCACTCCAGCCTGGGCAATAGAGCAAGACCCTGTCTCTATCTCTCTTTCTCTCTGTCTCTTTCTGTCACATAGGCACACACACACACACACACACACACACACACACACACACAAAGGTAAATATATTCCTTTAGAATCTCAATGTTATTATTGCTTTATAATGATATCTTAATCTTAAGATAAATTTCTTAGACTTACATAAAATTGACACATCTAGCTGTAGTAAGGAAATAGTGTTCATTTAGTATGGAGCCAGCACAGAAATGGGAGACAGAACGTTGTACAGAAACTATTCAAGAGAATTCACCAATTTCTGACTCCCAGCGGTTGTGACAGTGGGTGATATGGCCAGGGCATAATCCACACTCTGCAGAAGGAATACACATGTGGAATAGAGTGAGATTAGTGTTACTACTATCCTATTTATAAAATATAATTTTAGGTTTTTAGGAATGTTCTTGGAAATTCAGTATCTTCAATTCTGAGAAAATACTTGGAAATATACATTATTCATGCTACAATTTTAGATATGCTACAGAGGTTATTTGGATACTTTCCCTTCAAATGATAATTTAATGTATATATAAATATATAATATATCTTATTATTGTATCCAAGATATTATAGTATTATCCAGTTGTGGGTGTATATATTCATATACTTCAAGTGGAATAATAAACCATTTCTAAGAAGTAAGACTATCTTAAAAATACTCTTCTCTGAATAGAATTGTGTTTATAAAACATAGCCCATAAATCCTGTTTGGCAAAAGTAAGATATTCTCTCAATATTTAGACATCTCTGCTGATTCATACAATAATCTAAATTTTGGTTTTGCAAAGGTTTGAGGACATAACCTCTGATCTTACAAACTGTGGTTTTAGGGTTCAACAAGAGTCTTCGTAGCAAGTATATTAACTCACACATATGACTAGTCTAAAGGTGCCTGTGGTTTCATGAGAAATAACAGCTGTCTTGAAGAGCCAGAAAGCCTGGAAACTTCCAGATTACAGCTAGTTGACACTCAACCGGGAAACATTGAGTTCTGATTGCTTAAGAGGTTTTTGTCCAGGATTGGGTCCAGATTGAAATCCAGGCATCAGGAGAAGTTGTTTTGTTGAAAGTGTGGCTGCAGCAGCATGCAAGGATGAAAAAGAATGAGAAATAATGGACTCTTCAGGAAATGTTGAGGAAGATATTTTCTGAAGAACATTAGTAGAAGAGGCTATGGATAGGAGAACAAGAGAGGAGACCAGAGGATAAATAACTGAGCAAGATGGGAAAATGAAGAATGAAGGGAATGTACAAGAAGAAAAGACTGAACAAGAAGGGCACAGTGTACATGGAGATGGAAGAGAATAAGAAAGAGGAAGGAAAATGGAGGAAGAAAGAGAGATAAGAGAGGTACCTGGACATCAGGGCTTTCTTTTATCTGGATAATTTTTAATTTCCTGCCGTAGTGCTGGTAAACACTCTTCCAGGAAACCAAGTACTTGTACGCTGGCTCAACTGGAGAGAATTGATTTTATCCTGGCTTTCGGTGGCAGTTATCTCAGTTAACAAAGATAAAATACTGATCTGGGTAAGAAACAGTTTTTACTGGCAAAAAGAGCACATGTTTAGACAAGGAGCCAAAATGACTCGTTAATAGTGTTTCTCCATTAGGCTCAATTTCAGGAGGAGAAAATGATGCAATTATATCAGCCTTAAAATGGTTTATGGGTCTTAGTATTTCTGTTTCAGGCTGGATCCATGTTCTTACTTTTCCCGCTTTAAAAATAGCAAAGGATTCAATAATATCAGCTTCAGACTGGATACAGTGTCTGTCTGCTTGGGTTACAGGCAGTATCCAACATACGAGTGTTCTTCCTATAAGCAAGGTCCGTGTTTTGACTACTGGAGGTAGAATCTTGGGTCAGAATCTTAGTAAGAAGGTTTCAGACTGGATAAAATGGTGAATTATGTCAACTTCCAGCTGGATCCAGGGACTGACTGTTTGAGATTTTGAATAAACCCATGATCTGCCTTTATTCATTTGAATGTAAAATGAAGATCTGACTATATTAGTTTCCTGCTCGATCGAGGGTCTCACTGCTTGGGTTTCAAGGTGGGTCCAGGTTTGATATGTAGCAGCTCTTGGCTGAGTCCAGGTCCAAAATGTACCAACTTCAGTCAGTGGCCAGGGAAAGAGCAGCTGACTTTCAGGATGAATCCAGGGTCTAACTGTATCACATTAAGTCTATAAGCAAGATGTGACTGTATCAATTTCAGTCATGTTTCAGGGCTTTATTCCTTGGCTTACAGTCCAAATTTGGAAAACTTCAGTTTCAGGTTGGTTCCAGGATCTTACTGAATTCATTTGAGTCTGGAACAGGTATCTTATCACTATATTGTCTTCAGGGTGGGTCCAGGGATGAATTTCAGAGTAAGTCCATGGTCTGATTGTAGCACGTACATGCTGAGTCCAGGAATAATTTATGCTAACTTGATTCTGGATCTAGGAGTGTGTCATTTGAGATCCAAGTTGGGTCCAGGGCCAAACAGAAGCGTTATGAGTTGGGGACCAACATGTCACCATACCTACCTCATGCCACATCCTAATTGCTTGAGATTCAGGCTCAGTCCATTGCTCTATTTTATCAGTTGCAGAATGTGTCTCGTGTCTGACTGTATTGGTTTCAGCATAGATCCAAGGTTTCAGAACATCACCTTCAGACTGGGTCCAGGGTATGACTGCATTCTTTTCAGATTGGTTCAATGGGCGGATTATTTGCCATTCTGGCTTCATCCAGGTAGTAACTCTTTGAGAAGAAAGTTGAGTACCACTTCTTCTTACATTGTTTTGGGTCTGAAACCAAGCACTCAGAGTATTAATGTCAGGCATGGTCAAGCATTTTGCTGCCTGCATTTCAGCCAGATATAATAGTGTGTCAGACAATGATTGTATTAATGTTGCCTTGAGTCCAGGGGTGGATTGTGCCTGCTTCAGACCGGATCCATAGTTTTACTGTATGAGCTTCAGAAATGGTCTGGGATCTCATTGTACCTACTTCAGATTGGGTACACAGGAAGAAGCCATCAATTTCAGACTGGATCCATGTTATAAATGTTGTAGTTCTCTGTTTGGCCCAGGATTCTATTTTACCAGGTCCAAAGGGAGTAAACGTGCTCAATGTTTGAAATTCTGACTGAGCCCAAGGTTTTATTTTTTCTGTTCCAGTTTTAAACGAAGTTCTTTAACTTGAGCTTCAGGTTGGGACCATGGTTTTGCTGCTTGAGGCACAGCCAGTATCCAGGATATAAGTGTTCCAAACTCAGGCAAGGTCCATTCATCGATATTTTCAATTTCATGATGTGTCCATAAAATAGATGCTTGATTTTCATCTTGGATCAAAAGTTGCGTAGTATAAGGTTAAGGCAGCAAGGAAACTCTATAAATATTTTAGCTTCAGGCAGTGCCTAGAGTTTCTTAGCTTCAGTTTTAACCATCATCCAAAATGAGCCCATATCACTCTGTGTATAAGAATTTGCATCTGGAAAATCATCATGAGTCCACTTTGTGTCTGTGGAAGCTGTGGCCTCTGTCCATGTGTTTACCACTGGAGACTCAGACTGAGATCATGGGGTGATTGATTTGGACACAGGTAGTGTCCAGGTTTTTCCTGCTGAAGGGATACCCTGGGTCCATGGTAACACTGAGGAAACTGCAGCCCATGCAGTTTCTCAGCCCATGCATGCCTCTGGATTTTCTGCTGAAGTTTCATCATAGTTCCATGATATAAGTATATCAGATACAGTCTGTGTCCAGGTAATTCCTACTGGAGACTGGGCCAGAAGTCACAGTATAATTTTGTCAGATACTGGCTGTGTGGAGGTAATGACTGCAGAAGATTCAGCCTGCACCCACAGTGCAACTATATCAGATACAGAATGTATCCAGGGATTTGTTGCTAGAAGTAAAGCTTTGATCCATGGGGTGACTTGGTAGCTATTGCCTCTATCCATGGATTGACTGCTAGAGATACAGGCTGGGTCCACAGTGATAATGTATTAGATATAGGCAGTATCCAAGGATTTACTGCTGAAGATTCAAATTGGATCAATCCTATGTATGTCTCAGATACAGGCAGGATCCATGTAATTAATGCTGCAGATTCAGTTTGGGACCATAATCTGATTGTATTAGATGAAGGCTGTGCCCAGGCCTTTACTGTTGCAGATACAGCCTGTGCCCAAGTTGTAGCTGTATAAAAAACAGGCTGTGTCCAGGGATTTATTGCTGGAAATTCAGCCTGGGTCCAGGGTATAACTTTGGAAGCTACAGCCTCTGTCCAGATATTTACTGGTAGACATTCAGTTTGATGCCCTGCTTTAAGTGTACCATGTAAACTTTATGAAAAGAAGATTAATGATGGAGTTACAGGCTGTGTACACACTGTGAATGTATCAGCAACAGACTTGGTCCATGGATTTACTGCCAAAAATTCAGTCTGTGTCCATGGTATGACTGTGTCAGTCTCATCCTGTAACAGAGGACTTGGGACTGAACATTCAGACTCTGTCCAGATATTTACAATTAGAGACTTAGACTGCATCATGGGATTTACAGCTGGAAATTCAGCCTCATTCCAAGTGTTTACTTATAGATATTTTGTTTAGGTCCATAGTGTGACTGTATCAGGTACAGGTTGTAACCAGAAATTGATTGCTGGTGATTTTGTCTGTGTCCATGTTATGAATATATCAGCTAGAGCCTCTCTCCTGAGAATTATTATTAGAAATACATCCGTGTACTGCAGTGTGTCTATATGAGTTACAGCCAATGCTAAGTGACTTATTGCTGGCAACAGATCCTGGGTCCATGATGTGACTTTCTCAGTTTTAGACTGTCTCCATAGATTTACTAC
Organism: Homo sapiens; assembly: GCF_000001405.40. Classification (NCBI taxonomy): domain Eukaryota; kingdom Metazoa; phylum Chordata; class Mammalia; order Primates; family Hominidae; genus Homo; species Homo sapiens. Next base: position 6,320,006 of record NC_000024.10, read on the forward strand.
TACATAAACATTCTTAGCCAATGGTTTCACTCTATCAATAAGTATATGTACAGAGATTATTGATTTTAGAATGAGCCTGGGTCCACAGTAAGACAATTTCTGTTTCAAGCTTTGTGGAGGGATTTACTCCTACAGGTTCATCTTGGTTCTGTGGTATAACTGCAGCAGGTATAGGCTGTGTCCAGTCATTTACTTTTGGAGATTCAGTCTTGGTCTACTGTATGAAGGTATCAGTTTCATATTGTTTCCAGAGATTTATGGCAGGTAATTTGACTTGGTTCCAGAGTTTGATTGTATAAGCTATTGCCTGTGTCAAATGCTTTACTGCTGAAGATTCATCTTGGTCCCATGGTTTGATTCTATAAGATAGATACTGTGTAAAAGGATTCATTGCTGGAGAGTCATCCTGAATCCACAGTATAGTACTATCACCCAGAGACTGCCCAGGGATTTACGGCTGAAAATTCAGGCTTGGTCCACAGCTTGTCTGCATCAACTGTTGTCTGTGTCCATGAATTTACTGCTAGAGAATTATCCAGGATCCACTCTGTGACTGTATACATTTCAGACTTTGTCCATGCATTTCCCTCTTTAAGTTCAGCCTAATTCCTTGGTAGGACCATATCAGCTGTAGCCTCTCTCCAGGGATTCATTGCTGGAGTTTCACCCAGAATCCATGTTTGAGTCCAAGATACTGGTGGATGTTCAGGGTGGGTCCATGATAGGAATATATCATGTGCCCAGGGACTTACTCCTAGAGTTTCAGCCAGAATCCATGTTGTGAGTATATCAGTTTCAGACTGTTTCCAACGATGTAATAATAGCGATTCAGCCTAGATACACATTATTATGACTGTATCAGATATAGGAGAATATATTCATGAATTCATCACTAGTGATTCATCATTGGTCCCTAGTGTGATTATATCAGTTACCTACTGTTTCCAGGAATGTATTGCTGGAGCCTCAATCTGGGTTCACAGTGTTATTGCCTCAGTATCAAACTGTATCCAGTAATTTACTGCTGGCAAATAAGCCATGGTCCACAATGAGACTGGATTAAATTCAGATGGGAGTAAGTTATTTCCTTCTAGATATTCAGGCTGCAATCTTTCCATGGATTTATTGGTGCATTTCATCAAGGGTCAATGGTATGACAGTTTCAGCTATAGTTTTTGCCCAGAGATTCACTGTTGTAAATCTATCCTGGATCCATGGTGTGACTGTCTTAGCTATACGAATATGTCAAGGGAAATAAGGCTGGAAATTCTTCTTGGTTCCAACATGTGACTTTATCAGATACAGAATGTGTCCAGAGATTCACTGCTGGAGATTTGGCAATAGTTCACAGTATGATTGGATCAGTTTCAGACTGTCTTCAGGATGTTAATTTTTGAAATTCAGCCTTTGTCCATGTTGTGACTGTATCTGCTAACATCTTGGTCCAAGAGTTTACTATTGGAGTTTCAGTCTGGGTCCACAGTGGGACTGTGTGAGTTTTAGATTGTGTCCAGGGATTTAATTCTTGAGACTCTCCCTGCATCCATTGTGTTAGTACGGTAGCTTTACTTTGTACCCAGGGGTCAATTACACCAATGTCTTTCTGATTCCAGGGTCTCAAAGTGTCATCTTCAGCTTGGGTCCACGATCTAACTTTAACACTTTCAAACTTGCCCCAGAGTCTAAATGCATAAGCTTCATGTTGTATCCAGTCTCTTAACTTATCAGTCACAGGTTGGTTCCAAAACCTCAATATTTCAGTTTCAGACTGTATCCAATGCTGATTTGTCAGAGTTACTGGTTCTCTCCACTGTGTGACTGTCTCTGCTTGAGATCAAAACAAAAGTTTGATGATATCAGCTTCAGTGTGATTTCAGGGTCTGGATCTATCACCTCCAGTTTGGGGCCTGGGTACCACTGTTTCCATCCCAGTTTGGGACCAGTACCTAACTGGATCTGCTTCTGGTTGGGTCCAGTGTTTTTCTTTCCATTCTTGAGTCTGGGTTCTGGGCCTCAGTATTTTAAATTTATGCTGAATCCAAGGTCTCATTCTTTCTATTTCAATTTGTAACTGTTGTTTAATTGTATCAGCTTTCAGGTGAGTCAAGAGTCTTCCTGATTGAGTTTCTGACTAGATCCATGTTAGGACTATGGCTGTTTTAGGCTGCTTTCAGGGTTTGATCATCTCAACTTTGGAGTGAATTGAGGGCTCAATTGCATTCATAATAGGATGTATTAAGATTCATGTCTGCATCAGGGGTTTCAGTAATAATAGCCACATGTTTACTCAATGGACTCAATCTATCTATTTGATTTGAGGGCCTCATTATACTGGTTTTCTGTTGTGTCCAAGCCCTAATATTGTCACCTTTTAACTTTGCACATGAAGAGTATGCAGTATAGAAGAAATCCAGAACTGAGTTGACTCAGGTTCAGTGAGAATCTAGTATCCATCTGTCCTTTCTATAATTTCTTGGGGATACAAATATATTCAACACTAGCTGACACCATGGTTCAAAGGTATGGGTTACTGTAGGATGCTGAGATCCATCTTCATTGAGTGATCAATGAGTCCATATTTCAATTTTATTAACTATGAAAAGTACTGGTGGAATCTAGTTGTAAGTTGCTGGTTTTGCACCAGGGTTAACTCTATGAGCTACATGATACTTTTGGTTTCTAGTACTCTCTTCACTGGATTTAATCTGCATCACTGTTCCTGTTTTATAAGCTAAAAATTGTTTCTAAGTTTCAACTTCAGGAGTAATTTCTAGCCAAGGTTTAGCTACAAGTTGTCCATGAGATGGAACATTAATAAATTGAACTTGAGACTGACCAGTATCCATCTTAACAGGAACTTGAGATTCACCTATCCCACTTGAAAAGAGAAACCAGGATGTACCAGCATTAACTAATGGTAGAGTATGAAGCCTAATTGTACTAGCTAATGTATTAATCCAGAATCTTGCTGAATCAGTCACAGCTTAATATTTATAATCCATTGTATTTTTCTCAGGAAAATTCCAGGCTATAGGTTTAATATCTGTTTGGGAGTTCTGGAGTCCAGAAAAAAAAAGAAATATTGAGAAGTTTCCATTTCTGGGGTACTCCAGCATTCAGCTGTACCAGGATGATCCCGTGGTTTGGCAGCAGGAGAAATCCGGGATTGTACCATTGGGAATTTGCTAGCTGAGGAGAGGTGACCACTTTGAAAGTGTAATAGTCTATTGGCATGAAAAAATCTCTATTATTCTAACCAAAAAAAAAAAAAAACATTCAGTGGGGGTTCCGGTGCTTTCTGTACACTGGGGAAGTGCTTAATCTTCTCCTCCTTATTTGTTCTGAGAATCCATGAAAGATCAAATTGTCAGAGCCTGTATTAGAGGTAACTGTATTTTGTGGACTATCTTCTACTCCAGGAGAAAAATTGCAGGATAGAGAAAAAAATACCCCCAGTGGTTTCTGGGATGCCTTGATAAGCCATCTCATTCAAGATATGTATTGGGCTGTCCTGATGACAAGAACGGGGTCATAACAGGCTTCTGAGGTATCACTAACCAGGCCTACTACTGAGGTATCACTGACCAGGCCTACTACTGAGGTATCACTGACCAGGCAGTGACTGCCAAAGAGGCAAAGAACAGGATGACCTTGCTGTACCTGAATGGTTGGAAACAAAGTTAACCATATATGTTAGAAATACACATAGATGTGTAGTATACATGTATTACAATATGTAATGCATAAATTACATATACATGCAATACATATATATTAATTATAAAATATACAGATACATATCTTGTATATGTTTATGAATACTTATATCAATAAATTATATAGTTTATATGGCTTATATATTAAATTAAAAGATACTAAACTATAAGTATAAATTTTACTTTTCTATCTCATGTACATTTCATATTACTTGATGGGCAGTAATAAATAATATATTGTACATACTTCAAGAGTTCCATATAACACTTAGGCATAAATAATTCTAACTGTGGTTAAAACAGTAAAATCAAGCACTAGAAGGAAATTAGAGGAAGGTTCTAAACAATACAAATTACCTACATACTCAACATCATTATCTGAATATTACTTATGCCTTTAGCCAAGCAGTCTTAGGCAAAGCACAACTTATACGATCATGTGAAATGACTGTTTGTGTCACCTCCTCTGCCATTACATTTGTTGATGCCATCATTATTTGTTTAGTCTCTCTGTTTAATTCTGATGCCCACTTGCAGCTTGCAGTTTGTTCTCCTAGTAGCCAGAATTATACTCAGAGTAAACACTTATTGTAAAATCGACTACATAGTTGGAAGTAAAACAATCCTCAGCAAATGCGAAAGGATAGAAATCATAACAAACAGTCTCTCAGGCCACAGTGCAATCAAACTAGAACTCAGTATTTAAAAATTCACTCAAAACTGCACAACTATGTGGAAACTGAACAAACTGCTCCTCAATGACTGCTGGGTACATAATGAAATGAAGGCAGAAATAAAGATGTTATTTGAAACCAATAAGGACAAAGACACAGCATACCAGAATCTCTGGGAAACATTTAAAGCAGTGTTTTGAGGGAAATATATAGCACTTTTAATGTCCAGAAGAGAAAGTAGGAAACATCTTAAATTGGCACACTAACATCAACATTAAAAGAACTAGAGAACAAGAAAAGCAAAAGCAACAAATTCAAAAGCTAGGAGAAGACAAAAATAAATAAGATCAGAACAGAACTGAAGGAAACAGAGACATGAAAACACTTCAAAAAAATCAATGAATCCAGGAGCTGGTTTTTTGAAAAGATCAACAAAATAGATAGACCACTAGCCAGACTAATGAAGAAAAGAGAGAAGAATCAGACGTAATAAAAAATGATAAAGGGGATATCACCATTGATCCCACAGAAATACAAACTACCATCAGAGAATACTGTAAACACCTCTATGCAAATAAACTAGAAAATTTAGAAGAAATGGATAAATTCCTGGATGCATACACCCTCCAAAATCTAAACCAGGAAGAAATCGAATCTCTGAATAGACCACTAACAAGTTCTGAAATTGAGGCAGTAATTAGGAGCCTATCAACAACAACAACAACAAAAGGTCGAAGAGTAGGTTGTTCACAGAAGAATTCTACCAGAGGCACAAAGAGGAGCTGGTACCATTCCTTCTGAAACTATTCCAAACAATAGAAAAACAGGAAATCCACCCTAACTCATTTTATGAGGCCAGAATCATCCTGATATCAACATCTGACAGAGACACAGCAAAATAAGAAAATTTCAGGCCAATGTCTCTGATGAACATTGATGCAAAAATCCTCAATGAAACACTGGCAAACCAAATCCAGCAGAATATCAAAAAGTGTATCCACCATGAAGAAGTCACGTTCATGCTTGGGATGCAAGGCTGATTCAACATGCACAAATCAATAAACCTAATCCATCACATAAAGAGAATCAATGACAAAAACCACATGATTATCTCAACAGATCCAGAAAAGCCCCTCGATAAAATTCAACATACTTCATGATAAAAACTGTCAGTGAACTAGGTATTGATGGAATGCATTTCAGAATAATAAAGCTACTCATGACAAAACCATAGCCAATATAATACTGAATGGCAGAACCTGGAAGCTTTCCATTTAAAAACCTGCCCAAGACAAGGTTACCCCCTCTCTCACCATTCCTATTCACCACAGTTTTGGAAGTTCTGACAAGGGCGATCAGACAAGAGAAAGAAAGTGTATTCAAAGAGAAAGAGAAGAAATCAAATTGTCTCTGTTTGCAGATCACAAGATTGTATATTTAGAAAATTGCACTGTCTCACCTCAAAATCTCCTTAAGCTTATAAGCAACTTCAGGAAAGTCTCAAGATACAAAATCAATGTGCATACATCACAAGCATTCCTATACTCCAATAGCAGACAAGCAGAGAGCCAAATCACAGTCATCTCACACACACAGTTGTTACTAAGAGAATAAAATACCTAGGAAAGTAACTCACAAGGGATGTGAAGGACCTTTTCAAGGAGAACTACAATCCACAGCTCAAGGTATAAGAGAGGACACAAATACGTGGAAAAGCATTCCATGCTCATTATAGGAAGAATCAATATCATGAAAATGGCCCTACAGTGCAAAGTAATTTATAGATTCAATGCTATCACCATAAAGTTGCCATCTGACAAGGGATAACATATTAATCTGACAACAGACCAATATCCACAATCTACAAAGAACTTAAACAAATTTACAAGAAAAAAACTAAACCAACCCATCAAAAACTGAGTGAAGGGTATGAAGAGATACTTCCCAAAAGAGGACATTTATGCAGTCAACAAACATGAAAAAAGCTCATCATCCCTGGTCATTAGAGAAACGCAAATCAAAACCACAATGAGATACTATCTCATGACAGTTAGAATGGCTATCATTAAAAAGTCAGGAAACAACAGATGCTGGAGAGGATGTGGATAAGTAGGAACGCTGTTACACTGTTGGTGGGAGTGTAACTTAGTTCAACCACTGTGGAATACAGTCTGGTGACTCCTCAAGGCTCTAAAACTAGAAATACCATTTGACCCAGCAATGTCATTATGGGTTATGTACTCAAAGGATTATAAATAATTCTACTATAAAGACACGTGCACACTTACGTTTATTGACACATTGTTCACAATAGCAAAGACATGGAACCAACTCAAATGTCCATCAATGATAGATTGGATAAAGAAAATGTGGCACATATACACCATGGAATACTAAGCAGCCATAAAATAAGATTAGTTTATGTCATTTGCACGGACATGGGTGAAGCTAGAAAGCACCATTCTCAGGAAACTAACACCAGCACCGGAAGCCAATCACCACATATTCTCACTCATAAGTTGCAGTTGAACAATGAGAACACATGGACACAGGGAGGGGAATATCATACACCAGGGCCTGCCAGGGGTGGAGGGCTAGAGGAGGTATAGCAGTAGGAGAAATACCTAATGTGTGTGACAAGTTGATGGGTGCAGCAAACCACCATGGCAGGTTTATACCAGTGTAACAAAACCGCACGTTCGATACATGTACCCCAGAACTTAAAGTATATAAAAAATACATATAGACATATACTATACATGAATTAAAATATATATAATGCATACATTTCATCTATATGCAATTCATATATATTATAAAGTATACAGATACATATATATGTTTTGGAACACTTATATTTATAAATTAGCTATATAACAAGGGGTTTATACATACATTATAAAATATTAACTTAAACATATAAATTATACTTTTCTATCACATGCAAATTTTATATTACTGGATGGACAGTAAGAAATTTTACATGGTACATACCTAATGAGTTCCATATAACACTTAGGCATAAATAATTGAAACTCTGGTTAAAAGAGTAAAACCAAATACTAGAGGGAATTTAGAGGAAAGTTGTAACAATAAAAAATCACCTACATATTCAACATCATTATCTGACTATTACTTATGCCCTCAGCCAAGTATACGGTTTATACAGTCACATGAAACGACTGTGTGTATCACCTCCTCTGCCATTACATTTGTTGAAGCATCATCATTTGTTTGGTCTCTCTGCTTGATTCGGACACTCACGTGTAGCTTAGTTTGTTCTCCCAGTAGCCGGAATTATACTCAGAATAAAATCAAAAGGATTTGTCTTTGATCTCACTTAAGAGTTTTCCTTAGTTCATCTTGCCACATGATGGCAGTATGACTATTTGCTTAATTCTAGTTTCAGAATTATTTCAATGGTTATTTTCTCTGCCTGGAATTCTCTTCCTCCAAATATATTCCTAGATTACTTCCTCAACGGTTTAGTCCTTGCTCAAGTAAAGCATTTTTAAAGACAAAGTGACTTCAAAACACTTCTTCCAACATTTTCCTGTCACCTAATTAACTATGAACTGTAGTTGATGTAAAAATGTTTGTAAATGTGCTTATGTTAAATGTGCCAATGTTATTGATGGTACCCTTAGTACTTTTAGTCTTTGGATCGAAAAGCAATAAAAGTAGAATAAGCCAAAAAACCGTCTTTTCAAAGTGGTGGTAGGCGGAGACCACCACCTTCTTCAAGAAACAGAAGCCCGTCAGCAAATCTGAGATCTGCAAGAGGAAGTAGTGGAGGAAAAAGAGCGTGGCTGCCCTCACATGAAGAACACTTGGGTAATGTTTTAAAATATAAAGGTGGAACCATGGGACTGAAAGAAAACAAGTTTGAAGGTATCAAAATTTCTCAATTTTATTTATTATCTTTATGAGCAGAATATTAATTATTGATAAGCACAATTATCTCTAATTACTAAAGGTGTATTATAAGAATGATTGAATTAATATCTAAAATTCATTTTAAAATTGTAACAACTTTGCATTGAAATAACACAGATTTCTTTTATTATTATTATTATACTTAAAGTTTTAGGGTACATGTGCACAATGTGCAGGTTAGTTACATATGTATACATGTGCCATGCTGGTGTGCTGCACCCATTAACTCATCATTTAGCATTAGGTATATCTCCTAATGCTATCCCTACCTCCTCCACCCACCCCACAACAGTCCCCAGAGTGTAATGTTCCCCTTCCTGTGTCCATGTGTTCTCATTGTTCAATTCCCAGTTATGAGTGAGAACATGTGGTGTTTGGTTTTTTGTCCTTGTGATAGTTTACTGAGAATGATGATTTCCAGTTTCACCCATGTCCCTACAAAGGACATGAACTCATCATTTTTTGTGGCTGCATAGTATTCCATGGTGTATATGTGCCACATTTTCTTAATCCAGTCTATCATTGTAGGACATTTGGCTTGGTTACAAGTCTTTGCTATTGTGAATAGTGCCACAATAAACATATGTGTCCATGTGTCTTTATAGCAGCATGATTTATAGTCATTTGGGTATATACCCAGTAATGGGATGGCTGGGTCAAATGGTATTTCTAGATCTAGATCCTTGAGGAATCACCACACCGACTTCCACAATGGTTGAACTAGTTTACAGTCCCACCAACAGTGTAAAAGTGTTCCTATTTCTCCACATCCTCTCCAGCACCTGTTGTTTCCTGACTTTTTAATGATTGCCATTCTAACTGGTGTGAGATGGTATCTCATTGTGGTTTTGATTTGCATTTCTCTGATGGCCAGTGATGATGATCATTTTTTCATGTGTCCTTTGGCTGCATAAATGTCTTCTTTTGAGAAGTGTCTGTTCATATCCTTTGCCCACTTGTTGATGGGGTTGTTTGTTTTTTTCTTGTAAATTTGTTTGAGTTCATTGTAGATTCTGGATATTAGCCCTTTGTCAGATGAGTAGGTTGCAAAAATTTTCTCCCATTCTGTAGGTTGCTCTCCACTCTGATGGTAGTTTCTTTTGGTGTGCAGAAGCTCTTTAGTTTAATTAGATCCCATTTGTCAATTTTGGCTTTTGTTGCCACTGCTTTTGGTGTTTTAGACATGAAGTCCTTGCCCATGCCAATGTCCTTAATGGGATTTCCTCGGTTCTCTTCTAGAGCTTTTATGGTTTTACATTTAACATGTAAGTCTTTAATCCATCTTGAATTAACTTTTGTATAAGGTGTAAGGGAGGGATCCAATTTCAGCTTTCTACATATGGCTAGCCAGTTTTCCCAGCACCATTTATTAAATAGGGAATCCTTTCCCCATTGCTTGTTTTTCTCAGGTTTGTCAAAATTCAGATAGTTGTAGATATGTGGCATTATTTCTGAGGGCTCTGTTCTGTTCCATTGATCTATATCTCTGTTTTGGTACGAGTAGCATGCTGTTTTGGTTACTGTAGCCTTGTAGTATAGTTTGAAGTCAGGTAGTGTGATGCCTCCAGCTTTGTTCTTTTGGCTTAGGATTGACTTGGAGATGCAGGCTCTCTTTTGGTTCCATATGAACTTTAAAGTAGTTCTTTCCTATTCTGTGAAAAAAGTCATTGGTAGCTTGATGGGGATGGCATTGAATCTATAAATTACCTTGGGCATTATGGCCATTTTCATGATATTGATTCTTCCTACCCATGAGCATGGAATGTTCTTCCATTTGTTTCTATCCTCTTTTATTTCATTGAGCAGTGGTTTGTAGTTCTCCTTGAAGAGGTCCTTCACGTCCCTTGTAAGTTGAATTCCTAAGTATTTTATTCTCTTTGAAGCAATTGTGAATGGGAGTTCACTCATGATTTCGCTCTCTGTCTGTTATTGGTGTATAAGACTGCTTGTGATTTTTGTACATTGATTTTGTATCCTGAGACTTTGCTGAAATTGCTTATCAGCTTAAGGAGATTTTGGGGGGAGACAATGGGGTTTTCTAGATACACAATCATGTCATCTGCAAACAGGGACAATTTGACTTCCTCTTTTCCTAATTGAATACCGTTTATTTCCTTCTCCTGCCTAATTGCCCTGGCCAGTACTTCCAACACTATGTTGAATAGGAGTGGTGAGAGAGGACATCCCTGTCTTGTGCATGTTTTCAAAGGGAATGCTTCCAGTTTTTGCCCATTCAGTATGATATTGGCTGTGGGTTTGTCATAGATAACTCTTATTATTTTGAGATATATCCCATCAGTACCTAATTTATTGAGAGTTTTTAGCATGAAGGGTTGTTGAATTTTGTCAAAGGCCTTTTCTGCATCTATTGAGAAAATCATGTGTTTTTGTCTTTGGTTCTGTTTATATGCTGGATTACATTTATTGATTTGCATATATTGAACCAGCCTTGCATCCCAGGAATGAAGCCCACTTGATCATGGTGGATAAGCTTTTTGATGTGCTGCTGGATTCAGTTTGCCAGTATTTTATTGAGGATTTTTGCATCAATGTTCATCAAGGATATTGGTCTAAAATTCTCTTTTTTGGCTGTGTCTCTGCCGGCTTTCGTATCCGGATGATGCTTGCCTCATAAAATGAGTTAGGGAGGATTCCCTCTTTTTCTATTGATTGGAATAGTTTCAGAAGGAATGGTACCAGTTTCTTGTTGTACTTCTGGTAGAATTCGGCTGTGAATCCACCTGGTCCTGGACTCTTTTTGGTTGGTAAGCTATTGATTATTGCCACAATTTCAGATCCTGTTATTGGTCTATTCAGAGATTCAACTTCTCGCTGGTTTAGTCTTGGGAGAGTGTATATGTCGAGGAATTTTTCCATTTCTTCTAGATTTTCTAGTTTATTTTTGTAGAGGTGTTTATAGTATTCTCTGATGGTAGTTTGTATTTCTATGGGATCAGTGGTGATATCCCCTTTATCATTTTTTATTGCATCTATTTGATTCTTCTCTTTTTTTCCTTTATTAGTCTTGCTAGTGGTCTGTCAATTTTGTTGATCCTTTCAAAAAATGAGCTCCTGGATTCATGCAGTTTAGAGAAAAAAGAATAAAAAGAAATGAACAAAGCCTCCAAGAAATATGAGACTATGTGAAAAGACCAAGTCTGCATCTGACTGGTGTACCTAAAAGTGACGGGGAGAATGGAACCAAGTTGGAAAACACTCTGCAGGATATTATCCAGGAGAACTTCCCCATTTTAGCAAGGCAGGCCAACATTCAGATTCAGGAAATACAGAGAATGCCACAAAGATACTCCTCAAGAAGAGCAACTCCAAGACACATAATTGTCAGATTCACCAAAGTTGAAATGAAGGAAAAAATGTTAAGGGCAGCCAGAGAGAAAGGACAGGTTACCCACAAAGGGAAGCCATCAGACTAACAGTGGATCTCTCCTCAGAAACTCTACAAGTCAGAAGAGAGGGGGAGCCAATATTCAACATTCTTAAAGAAAATAATTTTCAACCCAGAATTTCATATTCAGCCAAACTAAGCTTCCTAAGTGAAGGGGAAATAAAACACTTTACACACAAGCAAATGCTCAGAGATTTTGTCACCACCAGGCCTGCCCTAAAAGAGATCCTGAAGGAAGCACTAAATGTGGAAAGGAACAACCAGTAGCAGCCACTGCAAAATCATACCAAATTGTAAAGACCATTGAGGCTAGGAAGAAACTGCATCAACTAACGAGTGAAATAACCAGCTAACATCGTAATGACAGGATCAAATTCATACATAACAATATTAACTTTAAATGTAAATGGACTAAATGCTCTAATTAAAAGACACAGACTGGCAAATTGGATGAAGAGTCAAGACCCATCAGTGTGCTGTATTCAGGAAACCCATCTCACCTGCAGAGACACACATAGGCTCAAAATAAAAGGATGGAGGAAGAGCTACCAAGCAAATGGAAAATAAAAAAAGGCAGAGGTTGCAATCCTAGTCTCTGATAAAACAGACATTAAACCAACAAAGATCAAAAGAGACAAAGAAGGCCATTATATAATGGTAAAGGGAGCAACTCAACAAGAAGAGCCAACTATCCTAAATATATATGCACCCAATACAGGAGCACCCAGATTCATAAAGCAAGTCCTGAGTGACCTACAAAGAGACTTAGACTCCCACACAATAATAATGGGACACTTTAACACCCCACTGTCAACATTAGACAGATCAACAAGACAGAAAGTTAAAAAGGATACCCAGGAATTCAACTCAGCTCTGCACTAAGCAGACCTAATAGACATCTACAGAACTCTCCACCCCAAGTCAACAGAATATACTTTTTTTTCAGCACCACACCACACCTATTCCAAAATTGACCACATAGTTGGAAGTAAAGCTCTCCTCAGCAAATGTAAAAGAACAGAAATTATAACAAACTGTCTCTCAGACCACAGTGCAATCAAACTAGAAATCATGATTAAGAAACTCACTCGAAACCGCTCAACTACATGGAAACTGAACAACCTGCTCCTGAATGACTACTGGATACATAACGAAATGAAGGCAGAAATAAAGATGTTCTTTGAAACCAACAAGAACAAAGACACAACATACCAGAATCTCTGGGACACATTCAAAGCACTGTGTAGAGGGAAATTTATAGCACTAAATGCCCACAAGAGAAAGCAGGAAAGATGCAAAATTGACACCCTAACATCACAATTAAAATAACTAGAAAAGCAAGAGCAAACACATTCGAAAGCTATCAGAAGGCAAGAAATAACTAAAATCAGAGCAGAACTGAAGGAAATAGAGACAGAAAATCCCTTCAAGAAATAACACAGATTTCAAACTGAATTGATTTTATGAATGCTGATTGCCTGTACTCAACTGGTTTTCTGCATAACTCATTTATATTTATTATACTTTAGAGTTTTCTACTCCAGGGCCCAGAAATTCAAATCAGTTTTATTATCAAAATACAATGGAATATTTACAGTTTTCAAATGGGAAAAAAGTAACTCAGTACTTAAGATTGATTTTTCAATATTTCATTTTTTATGTGTGTATACCTGTGCAAACATCTATGCAGATGAATCGCTTTGTAATTTTGATAAACAGAGTTTGTACATTGGCTTGCCATAAAGCGTTTTCAATTGAAGAAATGTAGAACTTTAATTTCTGAAAACAGTCTGTGACTCTGGAAATGTCTAAGAACTACTGCTTCACACATATCTATATATCTTTCTTTGCTGAAGGATGAGTCTCTGAAAATGATATTCATGAGTGATTTACACAAAAGAAATAAGGGGTTATTTCTACATAAAAAAGAAAATCAAACCATATATTGTATATATATTTATAATTTTATATATTTCTTTATAAAATAAAGGTATTTTATGTATTTCTGTATACAGATTAACATATTTTATGTATTTCTATATACAGATAAATGTATTTTATGTATTTCTAGATTCAGATAAACATATTTTGTGTATTTCTATATACAGATAAACGTATTTTATGTATTTCTATATACAGATGAACGTATTTTATGCATTTCTATATACAGATAAATGTACTTTTTTCATTTCTATATACAGATAAACATATTTTATGCATTTCTATATAAAGATAAACGTATTTTATATACTTATATATAAAAATAAATGTATTTTATATACTTATATATAAAAATAAATGTATTTTATATACTTATATATAAAAATAAATATGTTATATATTTATATATAAAAATAAATAAAAATAGACTGCTAGCAAGACTAATAAAGAAAAAAGAGAGAAGAATCAAATAGATGCAATAAAAAATGATAAAGGGGATATCATGACCGATCCCACAGAAATACAAACTACCATCAGAGAATACTACAAACACCTCTACAAAAATAAACTAGAAAATCTAGAAGAAATGGATAAATTCCTTGACACGTACACTCCCCCAAGACTAAACCAGGAAGAAGTTGAATCTCTGAATAGACCAATAACAGGATCTGAAGTTGTGGCAATAATCAATAGCTTACCAACCAAAAAGAGTCCAGGACCAGATGGATTCACAGCCGAATTCTACAAGAGGTACAAGGAGGAATTGATACCATTCCTTCTGACACTATTCCAATCAATAGAAAAAGAGGGAATCCTCCCTAACTCATTTTATGAGGCAAGCATCATTCTGATACCAAAGCTGGGCAGAGACACAACCAAAAAAGAGAATTTTAGACCAATATCCTTGATGAACACTGATGCAAAAATCCTCAATAAAATACTGGCAAAACGAATCCAGCAGCATATCAAAAAGCTTATCCACCATGATCCAGTGGGGTTCATCCCTGGGATGCAAGGCTGGTTCAATATACACAAATCAATAAATGTAATCCAGCATATAAACAGAGCCAAAGACAAAAACCACATGATTATCTCAATAGATGCAGAAAAGGCCTTTGACAAAATTCAACAACACTTCATGCTAAAAACTCTCAATAAATTAGGTATTGATGGGACATATTTCAAAATAATAAGAGCTATCTATGACAAACCCACAGCCAATATCATACTGAATGGGCAAAAACTGGAAGCATTCCCTTTGAAAACTTGCACAAGACAGGGATGTCCTCTCTCACCACTCCTATTCAACATAGTGTTGGAAGTTCTGGCCAGGGCAATTAGGCAGGAGAAGGAAATAAAGGTTATTCAATTAGGAAAAGAGGAAGTCAAATTGTCCCTGTTTGCAGACGACATGATTGTATATCTAGAAAACCCCATTGTCTCAGCCCAAAATCTTCTTAAGCTGATAAGCAACTTCAGCAAAGTCTCAGGATACAAAATCAATGTACAAAAGTCACAAGCATTCTTATACACCAACAATAGACAAACAGAGAGCCAAATCATGAGTGAACTCCCATTCACAATTGCTTCAAAGAGAATAAAATACCTAGGAATCCAACTTACAAGGGATGTGAAGGACCTCTTCAAGGAGAACTACAAACCACTGCTCAAGGAAATAAAAGAGGATACAAACAAATGGAAGGACATTCCATGCTCATGGATAGGAAGAATCAATATCGTGAAAATGGCCATACTGCCCAAGGTCATTTACAGATTCAATGCCATCCCCATCAAGCTACCAATGCCTTTTTTCACAGAATTGGAAAAAACTACTTTAAAGTTCATATGGAACCAAAAGAGAGCCCACATCACCAAGTCAATCCTAAAGAACAAAGCTGGAGGCATCACACTACCTGACTTCAAACTATGCTACAAGGCTACAGTAGCCAAAACAGCATGGTACTGGTACCAAAACAGAGATACACATCAGTGGAACAGAACAGAGCCCTCAGAAATTACACCACATATCTACAACTATCTGATCTTTGACAAACCTGAGAAAAACAAACAATGGGGAAAGGATTCCCTATTTAATAAATGGTGCTGGGAAAACTGGCTAGCCATATGTAGAAAGCTGAAACTGGATCCCTTCCTTACACCTTATACAAAAATCAATTCAAGATGGATTAAAGACTTAAATGTTAGACCTAAAACCATAAAAACCCTAGAAGAAAACCTAGGCAATACCATTCAGGACATAAGCATGGGCAAGGACTTCATGGCTAAAACACCAAAAGCAATGGCAACAAAAGACAAAATATGCAAATGGGATCCAATTAAACTAAAGAGCTTCTGTACAGCAAAAGAAACTACCATCAGAGTGAACAGGCAACCTACAAAATGGGAGAAAATTTTTGCAACCTACTCATCTGACAAAGGGCTAATATCCAGAATCTATAATGAACTCCAACAAATTTACAAGAAAAAAACAAACAACCCCATCAAAAAGTCGGCAAAGGATATGAACAGACACTTCCCAAAAGAAGACATTTATGCAGCCAAAAAACACATGAAAAAATGCTCATCATCACTGGCCATCAGAGAAATACAAATCAAAACCACAATGAGATACCATCTCACACCAGTTAGAATGGCGATCATTAAAAAGTCAGGAAACAACAGGTGCTGGAGAGGATGTGGAGAAATAGGAACACTTGTACACTGTTGGTAGGACTGTAAACTAGTTCAACCATTGTGGAAGTCAATGTGGCGATTCCTCAGGGATCTAGAACTAGAAATACCATTTGACCCAGCCATCCCATTACTGGGTATATACCCAAAGGACTATAAATCATGCTGCTATAAAGACAGATGGACACATATATTTATTTTGGCACTATTCACAATAGCAAAGACTTGGAACCAAGCCAAATGTCCAACAATGATAGACTGGATTAAGAAAATGTGGCACATATACACCATGGAATACTATGCAGCCATAAAAAATGATGAGTTCATGTCCTTTGTAGAGACATGGGTGAAATTGGAAATCATCATTCTCAGTAAACTATCACAAGAACAAAAAACAAACATCGCATATTCTCACTCATAGGTGGGAATTGAACAATGAGATCACATGGACACAGGAAGGGGAACATCACACTCTGGGGACTGTTGTGGGGTGTGGGGAGGGGGGAGGGATAGCATTGGGAGATATATCTAATGCTAGATGACGAGTTAGTGGGTGCAGCGCACCAGCATGGCACATGTATACATATGTAACTAACCTGCACAATGTGCACATGTACCCTAAAACTTAAAATATAATAAAAGGAAAATATATATATATATAACGTATTTATATATAAAAATAAATATATTATATATTTATATAAAAATAAATATATATTTATATATAAATATAAAATAAATATATTATATATTTGTATAAAAATAAATATATTATATATTTATATATAAAAACAAATATATAATATATTTATATATAAAAACAAATATATAATATATTTATATATAAAAACAAATATATAATATATTTATGTATAAAAATAAATATATATTTATGTATAAAAATAAATATATTATATATTTATATATGAAAATAAATATATTATATATTTATATATGAAAATAAATATATTATATATTTATATATGAAAATAAATATATATTTATATATGAAAATAAATATATTTATATTTATATATGAAAATAAATATATTTATATTTATATATGAAAATAAATATATTATATATTTATATATGAAAATAAATATATTTCATGTATTCATATATGAAAATAAATATATTTCATGTATTCATATATGAAAATAAATATATTTCATGTATTCATATATGAAAATAAATATATTTCATGTATTCATATATGAAAATATATATATTTCATGTATTTATGTATGAAAATATATATATTTCATGTATTTATATATAGAAATAAATATATTTCATGTATTTATATATAATATAAACATATTATATATATAGATAGATATTGATATAGATATATCTGGTGTGGTGATTTCCACCTCTAATCCCAGGTACTCGGGAGACTGAGGCAGGAGAATCACTGAAAACTGGCAGGTGGAAGCTGCAGTGAGCCAAGGTCACGACTTTGCACTCAAGCCTGTGGGATATGGCAAGAGTCCATCTCAATAAATAATAAATCCATTTTTAAACTTTTATTATCTACTAATCAACCTTCAAATATATATCATTTAATTTTGAGTTTAGTAACCAGATTTTTAATTAATGGGAGATGTTTTTTAAAGTTGAAATTGCAGTGTTTGCTCCATTTTAAGAAACACAGCTTCATGATTATTTTGTCTCCATTGGTCTTGAGGGTGAGGTTCAATAATATTCTGCCGTGGATAAGAATGTGCATATTCTAACCTGTAACACTGCCTGGCAATTGGCATATATCTACATTTTTTGTAGATATATAAAAATATTTTTTCATATTATTTAATATGGAATTCTTAAAGATTATTAATATTTAGCATAGTCTAACCTGAAAATTAGTGTTTCATAAGGGAATTGTAAGAATTCAATATTATGTTAACAAATTTTAGAGATAATATATTTTCCTGATGTGTCACCTTTTGATATTGTAAATATCTGAGTTTCTTTGAATGGAATTTAGTTTATCTTTATGATATGCTTTGAAAATTTTTCCTCATAAGAGAATGATATAAACAGTCATTTATCATTTTTCTTTCAATGTTTTTATATATATTATACTTAGATATTTTACTGATAGTTTTCTGCTCCCTGTTCACTCCCCACTTTTTCCACATCTCTCTCTCACGCAAACATATTATGATTCTTGTGTTTCTTTCTAGATTTTCTAAATGGACTTTTATTGCTTGAATTGTACTTATTTCATATAAAAATGTTAATTTTATTAGTTTAGACAAATGTGAATTTGTAAGATTATAATATGTAGAAAATCTTTATAAACAACTAAAACTTAGCTATTTAAGAAACAGTGATGTTAGTCAACTAAAAAGATTTTGTTTGAAATACAGATGATGGTGGATAAACTCTTGATCTCAACATGAGTTCTTCTAGGGGGCACATTCCAGTTAAAAGCGGTCCACCTTCAAGAAGTGGAGGTCCTCCTCCTACAAAATCTGCTCCTGCTGTGGCAAGAAGCAGTAGTTGGATGGGAGGCCAAGGTAAGTGCTACCAGAGAGAAAGACAGTATTTTTCGTATGACTAAAAATAAGCTATTTTACTTGAATGCTTAACTTTAACTTCATCGAACGAAAGAGGAGTGACACATACATGGGCATAATTCAGACTGATACCTTTTATTATGGTTTATATATCACTAACTACATTTCAGATTTATGGTAAAGAAATACTTGAGCTTCTCATTGCAGGTGAAATAAGTTATTAGAGTGAGGCCAACATTACTTTTAATCCTGTGTTTGCTAGAGAATTCCCCTTAATAATTCTAACAGTTCCTAGCAGTATTCTTTGATTGTAGTCTTCTTCATCTAATGAATTCTTCCATTTCCTAGGTCCCCTGGTAGTGGTTCCCTGGTGTCCCATTCTAAAAATTGCTTGTTCAGTTCCTTTGTTGGGTTGGAGTCTTGCTCTTATGAGGTCAGAGTGCATAGGTGAGATGATGGCTTACTACAGCCTTAAACTCCTGGGCTCAGGCAATTCTCCTGTTTCATTTTCCTGAGTTGCTGCAACTATAGCCATGCACCACCATATCTAGCTAAGTTTTTTCCCCTATATTTTTGTAGAGAGAGGATCTCACCACATTGACAAAACTGACATTAAAGCCCGGGGCTCAAGCAGTCCAGGTGCCTCACCCTTCCACACTGGCCCACAGTGTTAGCCAGTTAGCCTGGCCATCTAGGTTTTGAGACCTCAATAATTCTAATCCGTGAGGCATTTTTCCTGCTTATATAAAGATTGAAAAGAACTGCAAGAATATTTAGCAGAAAAAGATTCACTGAGCTTAAACATTATTTAAAAAATAATTTAAGGCTTGTAAGTTAGACATGAAGGAGTCCAATATTCTTAAATTAAGTGGATATCACAGAAGTGTAGAGTTATGAAATATAAGGGGATGTAAATCAATAATTAAGATTGTACCTGGATGTTTAAACATTAACACAAGACCTTAGTGTAAGATTTGAAATTATTTGAGGTGAGAATTTAGAACTAAGCAACAAGAGTTGAACAGTAGGATCGAATAGAAGTAATATTTTTGAGAAGGAGAATTGTAAGATTGCAGACTGAACAGAAGAAAACAAGACAATAAATAAAAATTCTTAGGGACGACGTTTAGCAGAACAAAATAAAATTCTTACTTTGTCCTCCATCCTAAGATGGAGGAAAATGAAAACTGCCATTTTTAATTTTACATTTCATGTGTAGAGTATCAGTGAAGTTAGTTATTTATTGTCTTCAGGATACACAAGCCAACACATTTCCATAGGAAAATTAGCCAGTGAACATATTATAAGTGAAAGACAGACCTCTAAGGAGTAGCACGTGAAGAGTATATTAAAGGAGAACCTTTTCTATTTTGAAATAACAACAATGTGATAATGACCCCTTGAACACTATTGCTTATTGCAGTATAAGAAAATCTTGGTCATCATTAGAAAATCTTCACTAGTATATTTTAATTTGCCAACATTTAAGATAGAGCCAACCACTTAGAGATAAAGGAGAACTTTTAGGTAAAAGTTTAGCATGCAGTCATTCAAAGGTGGCAGTATTTGTGTGTGTGAGATGGACTGAACAACATGGGAAAATTTACCTTCTTCAGCTGAGAAAGGACAATGTATGTAAACTTTAAAATCAGTGGAGAGTTTGATGGTTTTACATTTTCCATGTGTCATTAGTATTCATTAGTAATTCTATAAAAAGGAAAATAATAACTAAGTAGTTATTAAACATTAAAATGAACTTTTACAAAAGAATTAACATCTGCCTTCAGCTTTGTTAGAAGAACTGGCCTTGCAGGAGCCATGGGGTTATCCAAGGCCATAAGAAATATTCACAGTGTCATGATTTTCTAGTAATTTAGGGAAAAAAAGAATGGAGACGTAGATGAAATAATTTTAAAAAGTTGTTTGAGAGAAGAGAAAATAATGTTTCAGATTTCGTGTTCTTTACATTATGTTCCATCATTTTAATATTAAATGTAATGGAAGAGAGAATTATGGAGTTCCTCCACAGAGACAGTCAGTCTTTTCCTGGAGAAATGACCATGTGTCATCAAAAGATGTTGGTTATGCAACTAAGGATAGGTAAAAAAAAAAAAAAGAAAGAAAAAATAGTTAATTTTTTTTTGTTGTGGTGATGAAATTCACTTAACAAAATTAAATATTATAAGGTAAACAGTTAAGCGGAGTTAGATACCTTCTGTGTAGTGCAGCAACTACCTCCATCGAGTTCCAAAACATTTTCATGACTCCAAACTAAAATTCCAACTACTAGTTAAGCAGTCCTTCATTTTCTCCCTTCCCTCAGCTGCTAGCAAACACCAATCTGTGTTCTGCCTGTGCACATACCTGTTGTGGGCATTTAATGTTAATGGGGTCAAACACTACATGACTTTTTTACTGTCTGTTTTCCTTTTTCATGATGTCCAGAAGGTTCACATATGTCATAGCACTTCATTTCTTCCACAAGCTGTTAACCGATCATTTTATTTGAGTTGTTTCCACCCCAGTATTTCTATGAACCAATATTTGTTTGGGCACACTTAATCAATTCTGGGTATATATAGAAGTGGAATTGCTTGGCCCTATGATAATTATGTGTGTGTTCTTGAGGAACCACCACATTTCTCTATAGAGCTGCATCATTTTCCATTCCAGCTAGCACTGTATCAGGGTTCCAGTTTATCTACATCCTCTCAATTGAAATGCATTTTCTGAATCATTGATTATGAGTGTCTGTTCCATGTGCTTTTTGGGCATTTGTCTATTTTATTTGGAGAAATATCCATTTAGATGTTTGGCCTTTTAATTTTGTTTAAGTTGTAAGTTAGTTATGTTTTGGATACCAGAAGTTGAAAATTTAAAATTTGTTGCATACACTTATGCACACAGTAATCATCCAGGTTCCTCAGAATCTAGGGATTATGCTCCACCATCTAGAGACTATGCATACCGTGATTATGGTCATTCTAGTCAGGATGAACATTCCTCTACAGGAAATAGGTACTATAATAATACTTTCTGCATTTGCCAAATAGAGTTCTTGAATTGTTCATTCCAACTAACATTGCATCAATGTATCAATTTATCTACATTTTCTCAAACACTTACTATTTCCTGCTTTTTAAAATTTATTGCCTTTCCAGTGTGTACGTGAATTATGGTATCTCATTTTGGATTTGAAATGTATTTCTGAATCACAGATTATGAGTATCTGTTTCATGCGATTTTGAGACATTTGGCTATTTTATTTGGAGAAATATCTATTTAGCTGTTTGGCCCTTTAATTTTGTTTAAGTTGTAATTTAGGTATTATGTATGCTGTAATTTAGTTATGATGGATATTTTGGACACTAGAATTTGAAAATTTAAAATTTATTGCTTAAACTTATGCACACAGAAATCATCCAAGTTCCCAAGAAATGAGGGATTATGCTCTAACACCTAGAGGCTATGCATACCATTATTACAGTCGTTTGAGTCAGGATGAACATTCCTTTAGAGGATATAGGTACTATATAAGTACTATATAGGTACTATAATGTTTTGTGGATTTATAAAACAGATTTCTTAAATTGTTCATTCTGACAAAAGAAACCTTTTTTTTTTTTTTCAATTTAGTGATCTTGATGGCTGCTGTGAGGTAGAGAACATTCTGAATGTCCAAGTGGAAGTTCTTACAGAGATGCATTTCAGAGTTATGGTATGAGTCCAGGTTGGATTTTTAAATTATAGAATTATATTAAATAGACCAGATCATTATTTTAAAGAAAACTAAGGAAATTATAAAGGACAAATATAACATGTTTAAATATTGAGTATTCTTAACAGCATAAAGTGTAGGGAATGATATAAAGGTGAGAATTTCATTTCACGTTCAGTTAAATGTGATTCAACGTTTACTTTAGAATTAAATTTGTTAAGCTTCAAAATACTACTCTTACACTTCTTTTAAAAAAAACCTTCTGACTATTGCAGGCATAATTAATATCTGTAAATGAAGGCGGAGGAAAGCAGATATTTCCAAGTAGTAGTTTAACTAATTAATACTTTAGTGATAGCACTAAAAATGTTTAAATGTAGTCCAACATATTATTTTATCAACCCTGCAGGGACCTCTGATGGTGCACCACCTGTCCAAGGGCCTCAGATGCCTTATGGTGGAAGAAGCCACCATGATTATAACAATTTATGAGATAGATATGGCAGAACTTGGGAGAGTTACCTAAGAAGCTGCAGTAATTTTTATTCCTGCGGTTGTGAGCACAGTGGCAGAAAAGACGGAAGGAATCCATTTTCTCTGGACAGGGTGCACA